>NC_000006.12:16878181-17029696 GCF_000001405.40 Homo sapiens | reverse complement strand
GGTGACACACAAAATTAATCATCATACCCAGTAAGCTATTGGTCATTTCCATTTACAAATGAAGAGATGTAGATAAGAATTTAAGTGAAGGTGCAGAGTCAGTAAGGGATCCAAAGTTAAGATTTTGGATTCAGAATTAGCATTCTTTCCAACGTTCCAGAAGGGATGGTCACAAAAATGTGCTGCTCAGATCTTCTGCTGTCATGAGTATATATCACCAATGGCCATGACTGCTGTACTCCAAGTCTATCTCTGTGTTCATGCCCAGGCCACATTTCCCCCAAGCTGCTACAGCCAGTGATTTTTCTGGCTCTGCAGGGTCCCAATGCAACCTTTTCCTGAGAAGGGCCAGTCTCCTCTTTCTGACATTAGCTTGAGGACTCCACAGTCACTGGATGGGGACTTTCTTGGAACTCTGCTGCAGTCTGAGATTCTCCCTGCCCCACCCTTCCTCCTCTTTTTTACAAGAGTCTTCCAGCATTGTGTTCTAAATACTGTCCCCACTTCTATGGACTCTCTCCTCTTTTTCCATCACAGACATTTACCCCAATAAATCTCTTGCATGGCTAATTCTGTCTTGTTATCTGCTTCTCAGAGGATCCAAACCAATGCACTAGGCTTCCCCTTTCTCCCTATAAAATGATGACTGCTAATGTCAATTCATTATTTCTGTAATATTTTTATGTACTCAATATTTTTAAGGATTGGATGGGTGGGAGGAAGGATAAAGAGGGCAAAGAAGTAAAGAAGCAAAAGGGAGGAATAGAAAACACTTACATGCTATGGTCTTTGCTTCCAAGACAAGACAATTGCACATGAATGAAACGTAAGGGAGACATAATATAGCTATATGATAAAGTGGCAACTTACGTGTAGAAGACTGTAGGAATAAGTGGAGATAAACAATAAGAAACCTGGAGTTTTTAAGAAAGATAAGTCACCAAGGAGATGGGTGAATGCCAAAAATTGGGCTTTGAAAGATGGGTAGGGCTGGGCACGATGGCACATGCCTATAATCTCAGCACTTTGGGAGGCCGAGGCGGGTGGATCACCTGAGGTCAGGAGTTTGAGACCAGCCTGGTCAACACGGCAAAACCCTGTCTCTACTAAAAATATTAAAAAATTAGCTGGGCGTGGTGGCGGGTTCCTGTAGTCCCAGCTACTCGGGAGGCTGAGGCAGGAGAATTGCTTGAACCTGGGAGTCGGAGGTTGTAGCGAGCAGAGATTGTGCCACTGCACTCCAGCCTGGGTGACCGAGTGGGGCTCAATCTCAAAAAAAAAAAAAAAAAGAAAAGAAAAGAAAGAAAGAAAGATGAGGATCTTTATAACTACCAGGTAGATGGGGTGGCATTTCAGGTGAGGGAAACAACATTGCAGGTAGAATAACTATGTCCCTTTCTGTCTGTCTTAGACCAGTCAGGCTGCTGTATCAGAAAACCATAAACTGGGTGGCTTACAAACAACAGAAATTTATTTTTCACAGTTCTAGGGACTGAGAAGTCCAACGTCAAGGCATTGCAGATTCGGTGACTGGTGAGGGCCCACTTCCTGGTTCATAGACTGCTGCCTTCTCATTGTGTCATCATATAGTGGAAAGGGCGGGGGAGCTCTCCAGAGCTTTTAAAAGGGCACTAATTCCATGTATAAAGACCTAATTACCTACCAAAGGTCCCGCTTCCTAAGACCATCACACTGGGGATTAGGATTTCAATATGTGAATTTTGGAGGGACAAAAACATTCAGTCCCTGGCATACAAAATACCTGGAAAATAGTGAGATGAACTCTAGGACTCTAGACATTCTGAGGTTAATAGACCAATTTGTGCCTCAGGTATCTCACGTGTAACGTGGCGGGTAATAATACTGTTTCACAGAGTTTTTAATGTGGGTTAAAGATTTAAGATTTTTTAAAGCATTTAGAACAGTTCCTGCAGCAGAGGAAGTGCGATTTAAGTGTTTGTTAAATAAATAACTGGAAATAAGTTTAAATCTGGGAGGCAGAGAGAAGGAGTTTGAGGTGAAGAATGGAAAAAGCCAGAAAACAATGCAAGGAAATGCATTCTGGCAGGAAATGTAGCAGGAAATGAGAGTCACTTATTTGCAGAGGAGAAATAGCATGATAGAGATGGCTTTAGAAAAGCTTTCTCTGGTACTGATATGAGGTAGAAATTAGAAATGGGAAACCTAAGACAAAGAAGACCATACCTCAACAAATATTTATTCTATCTTGAGAGTATATGTACATGTATCAAGGGAATGAATAAAAGAAGAGAAGTAAATATGATCCCAAACTTTAAAATGTGGATTATTGAAAGGATGTTAGTGTCATTAATAAAGACAGAAGAGAGAGGAGATGCTTGCTTGTTTGGGGAAAGAAGACAAAATTTTTGGATAGGATTGGATGGGGAAAGAGATCTGAAGTGACAATGTCTACTGAGTAATTGAAGATATGGAATTGAAGACAAAGAAAGATTTCAGGATCCAGAGTTTGGATTCACTGGCATTAGCTACTGAGATAAACCAAGAGGTGAAAAGCTCACGACTTAGCCATGAAACAGCACTGCCATGCTGGCCAGAGCAAAGTCCCCAAAACTAGCTCTAGTTTACTGCCTACTGAAGGCAAAATAGTACAATGACTCACAGACTACCGATCAGTGTGATACCTTTGTTAACATGTAAATAACCCTGAAAGTATTGAAACAACTGAGAGCTCATTTAGTTTTAAAAGTGTTCAATCTTACTAGGAATAGAGGTGAACTTCCTCAATTTGATAAAGACTATCTACAGAAAATCCATAGCCAACACTATTCTTGACGGTGAGAAACGAGAAGCTTTCTCACTAAGATCAAGAATAAGGCAAGGATGTCCCCACTCACCATTCCTTTTCAACATTATACTGGAAGTTCTAGCAATACAATAAGACCAAAAAGGAAATAAAAGGTGTACTGATTGGGAAGAAGAAATAAAACTTTTTCTATAGATGACATGACTGTCTACATAGAAAATGCAAAAGAATCAACAGAAAACTTCTGGAACTAATACACAAATATAGCAAGATTGCAGGATACCAGGTTAGTATACGAAAATCAATCACTTTCTAAGTTAGTCCATTTGCATTGCTATAAAGGAATACCTGAGGCTGGGTAATTTATAAAGAAAGGAGGCTTATATTGGCTCATGGTTCTGCAGGCTGTATGAGAAGCATGGTGCTGGCACCTGCTCCTGGTGAAGCCTCAGAAAGCTTCCAATCATGGTAGATGGCAAAAGGGGGAGCCAGTATGTGTCACATGATGAGAGAGGGTGTGAGGCAGGGGAGGTTTCAGGCTCTTTTAAACAACCAGATTTCCTGTGAATTCACAGAGTGAGAACTCACTCATTACCACAAGGACAGAACCAAGGCATTCATGAGCAATCCACCCCCTAAACCAAACGCTTTTCACTAGGCTCACCTCTAACATTGGAGGTCACATTTCAACATGAGATTTGAAGGGGAAAAAACATGCAAACCATATCATTCAGCACATGGACCCCCAAATCTCATGTTCTTCTCTCATTGTAAATACAATCATCCCTTCCCAATAGTCCCCCAAAGTCCTAACTCATTCAAACTCAGCATCATCTCAATCAAAAGTCCAAAGTCTTGTCTGAGACCCAAGGTAGGTTCCACCTATCTATGAGCCTGTAAGATAAAAAAACAAGCTATCTGCTTCCAAGATGCAGTGCTGGTACAGACAATGGGTAAAAATTCCCAGACCAAAAGGGGATAATCAGCCAAAAAAAAAGGGGCAATGGGCTCCACACAAGTCTGAAACCCAGCATGGCAGTCATTAAACCTTAAAACTCCAAAATAATATCCTTTGACTCCATGTCTTGCATCCTGGGCACACTGATTAAAGGAGTGGGATCTCAAGGCCTTGGGCAGCTGCCTGCCCCTGTGGCTTCGCAGAGTGTAGCCCCCATGGCTTCTCTCAGGTGTTGGAGTTGAGTGTCTGCAGCTTTGCCAGGCTCAATGTCTAAGCTGCTGATAGCTCTACCACTCTGGAGTCTGGAGGGTGGCAGCCCCTTTTCCACAGATCCATGAGGCAGTGTGCTGGTGGGGACTGTATGTGGGGCCTTCAACTCCATATTTCCCCTTGGCACTGCCCTAGTAGAGTCAGCGAGTGTTCCACCCCTGCGGCAGCCTTCTGCTGGGCACCCAGGCTTTCTGATACATCTTCTGAAATCTATGGAGAAGCTGACAAGCCTCCTTCATTATTGCATTCTGTGCACCTGAAGACTTAACAACACATGGAAGCCAGCAAGGCTTATGGCTTGTGCCCCCTGGAGCAGCAGTTTGAGATGCACCTGGTGCCCTTTGAGTTCTGGCTGGAAACTGGGTGGCCTGGATGCAAGAAACATTGTCCCAAGGTGGTGTAGGGCAGCAGGCCCCTGGGTCTGGCCCCCCAAGCCTTTCTTTCCTCTAGGCCTCTGGGCCTATGATGAGAGGGGCAGCCTCAAAGACTTCTGAAATGCCTTTGAGGCATTTTTCTTACTGTCTTGTCTATTAGCATCTGGCTCCCTTTCAGTCATGCAAATCTCACTAACAAATGATTACTCTACAGCCAGCTTGTATTTCTCTCCTAAAAACACTATTTCCTTCTTTACCACATGACCAGGCTGCAAATTTTCCAAACTTTTACTCTCTGCTTCCCTTTCAATTATAAGTTCCAACTTTAAGTCATTTCTTTACTCCTGTATCTGATTATAGGCTGTTAAAAGCAGCCATGCCACATCTTGAATGCTTTGCTGTTTAAAAATTTCTTCTGCCTGATACCCTAGGCCATTACTCTTAAGTTCAAACTTCTACAAATCCCTAGGACATCAACACAGTGCAGCCAAATTCTTTGCTAAGGTGTATCAAGGATGACCTTTGCTCTAGTTCCCAATAAATTCCTCATTTCCATCTGAGACCTTGTCAACTTGGCCTTCACTGTCCAAATTTCCATCAGCATTTTGGCCATAGCCACTTGATACGTCTCCAAGAAGTTCCAAACTTTCCTGTATCTTCCTATCTTTTTCTGATCCCTTCAAACTCTTTCAACCTCTGCCCATTACCCAGTTCCAAAGATGCTTCTACATTTTCAGGTATCTTTACAGCAACACCCCTCTCCTCAGTACCAGTTTTCTGTGTTAGTTCATTTGTATTGCTATAAAGAAATACCTGAGGCTGGGTAATTTATAAAGAAGAGGTTTATTTGGCTCATGGTCCTACAGGCTGTAGGAGAAGCATGTGCTGGCATCTGCTCTTGATGAGGCCTCAGGAAGCTTTCAATCATTGCAGAAGGCAAACAGGGGAGCCAGCATATCATATGTTGAGAGAGGAAGCAAGAAGAGGGAGGTGCCAGGCTCTCTTAAACAACCAGATCTCGTGTGAATTCGTAGAGCGAGAACTCACTCATTACAGCAAGGACAGCACCAAGCTGTTCATGAGGATCCATCCCCATCACTCAAACACCTCCCACTAGGCTCATTTCCAACACTGGAGGTCACATTTCAACAAGAGATTTGGAGGGGACAAAACATCCAACCATATCACTTTCCTATATGCCAACAGTGAACACATGGAATTTGAAATTAAAAATACAATACTATTTACATTAGCATCCCCCAAAATGAAATACTTAGGTATAAGTCAAAATATGTATAAAAGTATGAGAAAATTGATAAAACTTGGATGAAAGAAATTAAAAAAGAACTAAATGAATGGAAAGATATTACATATTCATCAATAGGAAGACTCAATATTGTCAGAATGTCCATTCTTCTCAATTTGATCTATAGATTCAATAGAATTCAATTCAAAATCCCAGCCAATTACTTTGTAGCTATTGACAAATGAATGCTGAAGTTTATACAAAGAGGCAATTGACTCAAATTAACCAACACAATATTGAAGAACAACAAACAAAGTTGGAGGACTGAGGCTACCTGACTTCAACTGTTACAATAAAGCTATAATAATTAAGACAATGTGGTATTGGCAAAATAATGGACAAATAGATCAATGAATAGGATAGAGAGCCTAGAAATAGAGCCATGTAAACATAGTCAATTGATCTTTGACAAAGGAGCAAAGGGAATACAATGGAGAAAAGATATTCTTTTTAATAAATGGTGTTGGAACAACTGGAAAAAAATCTAGGCACAGATCTTACACACTTCACAAGAATTAACTCAAAATGGATCACAGCCCTAAACATAAAACACAAAACTATAAAACTCCTGGAAGATAACGTAGTGGAAAATCTGAATAGTCTTGCGTTTGGTGGTAACTTTTATTTAATATACCAAAGGTACAATTCATGAAAGAAACAATTGATAAGCTGAACTTCATTAAAATTAAAAATTTCTGCTCTGTGAAAGCCACTATTAAGAGAATGAAAAGACAAGGCCACAGGCAGGGAGAAAATATTTGCAAAAGACATATACGGTAAAGGACCATTATCAAAAACATACAAAGAAATCAAACTCAACAATAAGAAAACAGCCTGATTTTAAAAGGGTCCAAAGACCTTAACAGACACGACACCAAAGAAGATACACATAAGGTACATAAGCATATGAAAAGATGCTCCACATCATATGCCTCAGGAATTCAAATTAAAACAACAGTAAAATACCACTACACACCTGTTAGAATAGCCAAAATCCAGAACACTGACAACACCACATGTTGGTGAGGACATGGAACAACAGGAATTCTCACTTACTGTTGGTGGTAATATAAAATGGTGTAGCCACTTTGGAAGACAGTTTGGTGGTTTCTTACAAAACTAATCACACTCATACCATGCAATCCAGCAATCTCACTTCTTCATATTTACCCACAGAAGTTGACAGCTATGTCTACACAAAAACCTCACATGGATATTTATAGCAGCTGTACTCATAATTGCTGAAACTTGGACGAAATCAAGATGTCCTTCAGCAGGTGAATGGGTAAATAAGCTGTGGTACATCCAGACAATGGAATTCATTCAGCACTGAAAAGATACGAGTGATCAAGCTATGAAAAGACATAGCGGAAACTTAAATGCATATTACTAAATGAAAGAAGCCAATCTGAAAAGTCTGCATGCAGTGTGATTCCAACTGTATGACATTCTGGAAAACGCAAAACTATGGAGACTATAAAAATATCAGTTGTTGCCAGGTGTTTGGGAGAGGGAGGGATGAACAGGTAGAGCACAGAGGATGTTTTGAGGGCAGTGAAACTACTCTGTATGATACTATAATGGTGGATGCATGTCACTATGCATTTGACCAAACCCCCAGAAGGTACAACATCAACAGTGAACCCTGGCTGGGCGCGGGTGACTCATGCTTGTAATCCCAGCACTTTGGGAGGCTGAGGCCGGTGGATCGCCTGAAGTCAGGAGTTCGAGATCAGCCTGGCCAAAATGGTGAAACCTTGTCTCTACTAAAAATACAAAAAAATTAGCCAAGCATGGAGGCAGGCGCCTATAATCCCAGCTACTTGGGAGGCTGAGACAGGAGAATCACTTAAACCGGTAGGTGGAGGTTGCAGTGAGCCGAGATTGTACCATTGCACTCCAGCCACTCCAGCTTGAGCAACAAGAGGGAAACTCTGTCTCAAAAAAAAGGAGTGAACCCTAATGTAAACTCTGCACTTTGTGTGATCCTGATGTGTCAATGTAGGTTCATAGCTGTGAGTCTGGTGGGGGGTGTTGATAATAGGGGAGGCTGTGCATGTAGGGGAGTAGAGGGCATATAGGATATCTTTGTATCTTCTTCTCATTTTCGCTGCAAACCTAAAACTGCTCTAGAAAAGATAAAATCTTAAAGTATTCCATCTTTATTCCACAATTCTGTTTCTCAAGCAGGGCTATATGTGGAAAATCTCCATGAGAGAAGCTGTACGCCTTAATTCATTCATATCTAGCCACACCGCAGCCTGGATTGGTTCATTACATTAGCTCACAGTCATCTGGGAAAAGCAGAAAATATTTTAAACATAATGACTAACCTGGCTTTCTGCCCTATATCCATGAGTTTCAAACCAGGAGTTTTCAAGCTTTTTTTGACAGTAACATTAAGAAATAAATTTTACATCACAACATAAGACACGTGTACCTAACGCTGAAATCCTTACGACATGCAATGCACTTTGTTATTTTCTTTTCTAGTCTATTTTATTTATTTTAAAGAGTGCTAACTGCCACCCATGAAACCAATTCCATGATCACTGGACAGGTCATGACCTGTAGTTTGAAAAACAATGGTTTGGGCTACAGGAGCATCCGCTGCAGGCTGAGCCCTACTAATCCGGCAGAAATTCAAACACAGCTGAGTAGTTTGAGGTCAAGGTTGCTGCTTGGCCAACTCTCACCTTAAGTCCTATTCTAGTAATTAAGCTCTTGCTTTGTTTCTTGTACTCCAATTCTAATACAGAATCACTATTTTGGATCCTAGAACAATAGGCTCTTCTGTGCTCTATTTCTCTTACCTTAAAGTCTTGCTTCATGTGGCTGTGTCCCCACTGCACAGTCTCAGACTTTCCCAGCTCTGGCTGCAATTGCCCAGCACCTACCACAGTACCCTGAGCAGGGGAGGCCTTCAATGGCTGCCAAATAACTCCAGGTATTGCCTTGGCTTGTTGCATAGCACTAAATCAGCACGGTGCTACCTTTCTCCTTCTTTGGACTTCCTGCTAAGTGCATGTTAGCCCTGTGGAGTCTCTCAGTTCCATCTGCAACCTACCTGGAGTTAAACCACCCCCAGCTTTGCCACTGTGGAAGGGAGTTCAGGGAGGGGTCTGGAACCCATCATAATGGAGACTCTTAAGTGAGAGGGTGCAAGCAACAGGGTGACAGGAGAGCACAGAGCATCTGAGATGGAAAGTCAGGGCACAGTGAAGGAAGAGGCCGGTGCCCAAGATAATCTTCATAGGATAAATACAGGCAGAGTAATGAGGCCCACGGACCTGGCACTTAGTACTGACTCTTCAACTTCTAGCTCTATGCCTCATTTTATGCACCTGTAAATTTGGAATCTCATTAGCACTTTTTAAGTGGGTCTGTTGTAGGGATAAGGTGAAATAATGCATTTAATGCAACTAGCAGTAATTATTTCACAATTTTGCTTGCAGCAAAGTTTGGTAACAAGAGAGTTCTTTTTTTTTTTTTTTTTTTTTTTTTTTTTTTTTTTTTTTTTTTTGAGACAGAGTCTCACTCTGTCGCCCAGGCTGGAGTGCAGTGGCGCAATCTCGGCTCACTGCAGCACTGCCTCCCGGGTTCACGCCATTCTCCTGCCTCAGCCCCCTAAGTAGCTGGGACTACAGGTGCCTGCCACCACACCTGGCTAATTTTTTGTACTTTTAGTAGAGACAGGGTTTCACCGTGTTATCCAGGATCGTCTCGATCTCCTGACCTCATGATCTGCCCACCTCGGCCCCCCAGAATGCTGGGATTACAGGCGTGAGCCACCGCGCCCGGCCACAATAGAGTTCTTAGACTGTGGCTATGGCCAGTGTTCAGCAGATTCTGGTGTCCTCTGCGTCCTTTTAATATTACCCTCCCTTCTCACCACCTACTGCCCTAAAAAGGATTCTTCAGTGGTTATTCCTGTTATGGTAGTTGGTGAGAACCCCCTTGAAAGCTACCCAGCCTGTGGGTGTTGACATTTTGAGAGAAGATGAAGACTAGAGGTCTTACAGAAATAAATGGCTCCTAATTGAACTTCGGTCATCATGATGAGAGTAAAGGGTGTTATTTTGGCTAGGAGAATCTCAGTGATTTGTGCTCCTCAAAACATTGTAATTGGGGTGGAATTTAGGTTTACAAGTTGGCACCATAACTCAAGGCATCTATTTATACACTTGGCTTTGACCCTAATGATATTAAAGCAGAAGTTAAAACATTTTCAGTTTTGCTCAAAGATCAGATATATCCACAACGTGTTTAAGATTTTTCATATTCTTAGAGAAAATCAATAAAGTCAATAACTACTCCACCATGAAACACCGGTGCATGTTTGTATTATTTCACTTAAATAATTCTAATTATTAATTGGTTTACCTCCCAAGAACTCCATCTCCCCCTCTCCCAAACTAACCCTTGCAACACTTTAATTTTTCAAGTACTATATGGGGAAAGTCTGCGTAAGGCATGTGTAATTCTAAAATGGATTAAGTACTCTTATATCACACTCTTCTGTTTACACCTCTCTCAAGATGGTGTGTATGTGTGTATTTGTGTGAGATGTGTGTGTGTATGTGTGTGTGTGTATATTATATATATGAAATCTGGATATGTTTATAATATTCAGACATATGCTTATAAATATTCATAAGGCAATTCATACATAAATGAATAATTTAAGTTCCCTAACATCACCCGATCTGTTTATAGAATTCCCTTTCTGTCCCAGTTGAGCATCACCTCATAAAGCTCTTTACAGACACCTTTTCCCAGCTAGCACTCTGTTAAGTAGGTGAGTATGTATAATGCCACTGATAAAGTCTACAGAATAGTATTAATTTCCTAGTCTTAAAACAATACAGATTATCTTACAATTCTGGAGATCAGAAGTACTAAAATCCATATGAAAGTTAGGATTTGTGTTCTATTACTGTAAAAATGACACTGGAATTTTAGTAGGGATGACATTGACTCCGTAGATCACTTTGGGTAATGGGGTCATCTTAACAATGCAGTCATGTGTCACTTAAGGACAGGAATATCTTCTGAGAAGTTCATTATTAGGCGACTTCATAATTGTGTGAAATCATAGAGTGTACTTACACAAACCTAGATGGGATAGGCTACTACACACCTAGGCTATGTGGGATAGCCTGTTGCTCCTAGGCTACAAACTGGTACATGTTACTGTACTTAATACTGTAGGTAACCGTAACACCGTGGTAAGTATTTGTGCATCTGAACATATCTAAACATAGAAAAAGTAAAAACACTGTATAAAAGATAAAAAATGGTCCACCTGTATAAGGCACTTACCGTGAATGGCGCTTGCAGGACTCAAGTTGCTCTGAGTGAGTCAGTGAGTGAGTGATGGGTGAATGTGAGGGCTTAGGACATCACTGTACACTACTACAGACTGTATAAACACTGTACACATAGGCTGCGCTAGAGTTGTAAAAAATATTTTTTCTTTAATAAAAAATTAACCTTAGCTTACTGTAACTTTTTTACTTCATCTTTAAAATTTTTTAAAACTTTTTGACTGTTTTGCAATAACACTTAGCTTAAAACACAAACACATTTTAAAGCTATACAAAAATAGCTTCTTTCCTTATATCCTTATTCTGTAACCTTTCTTCTATTTTTAAAATTTTTATATATTTTTTACTTTTTAAACTTTTTTGCTAAAAACTCAGACATAAACACGCATATTTGCCTACCTTTACACAGGTCAGGATCATCAATATTATTGTCTTCCACCTCCACATCTTGTCCCACTGGGAGGTCTTCACGGGCACAAACAGGCATGGAGCTGTCATCTCCTATGATAACAATGCCTTCTTCTGGAATCCCTCCTGAAGGACCTGCCTGAGGCTGTTTTATAGTTAATTTTTTAAAAATAAGTAGAAAGAGTACACTCTAAAATAACAGTAAAACTTATAGTATAGGAAATACATAAACTGGTCACATAGTTGTTTATTATAATCATCAAGTATTGCGCACTGCACATTATTTTATGTGCTATACTTTTTTTTTTGAGACAGAGTCTTGCTCCGTTGCCAGGCTAGAGTGCAGTGGCACAATCTCGGCTCACTACAGCCTCTGTCTCCCAGGTTCAAGCGATTCTCCTGCCTCAGCCTTCCGAGTAGCTGGGACTACTGGTGCGCGCCACCACACCCAGCTAGTTTTTGAATTTTTAGTAGAGACGGGGGTTTCACCGTATTGGGCAGGATGGTCTCGATCTCTTGACCTCGTGATCCACCCGCCTCGGCCTCCCTAAGTGCTGGGATTACAGGCGTGAGCCACTGCACCTGGCCTTTATGTGCTATACTCATATGATTGGCAATGCAGGTTTGTTTACACGAGCATCACCACAAACACGTGAGTAATGTGTTGCACTTTGCTATAACAGTGGCTATGTCACTAGTCAATAGGAATTTTTCAGTTTCATTAGAGTCTTATAGATCACCAGATATGTGGGCCAACACCGAAGTGCTGTTATGTGGTGCATGACTCTATTAATTCTTCCAAACCATGAAAATGAGAAATCTTTCCATTTATTTGTGTCTTCTTCAATTTCTTTCCTCAATGTTTTGTAGTTTTCAGTATACAGAAATTTCATCTTCTTGGTTAAATTTATTCCTATTTTATTCTCTTTGATAATATTACTAATGGGATTTTTTTTTTTTTTTATGCTTTGGGGTTTTCTTTTAGATAGCTCAGTGTTAGTATACAGACACAACACTGATTTTTTTTTTCTTTTTGAGTCAGGGTCTCACTCTGCCACCTAGGTTGGTCTCAAACTCCTGGGCTCAAGCAATCCTACCGCCCTAGCCTCCTGAATACCTTGTACTGCAAGCGTGAGCCATCATGCTCTGCTAGTTTTAAAAAACGTTTTGCAGCACTAGGTCTTGCCATGTTGCCCAGGCTGGTTTCAAACTCCTGGGCTCAAGTAATCCTCCTGCCTCGGCCTCCAAAAGTGCTGGAATTACAAGTGTGAGCCACTGCACCCAGCCTCTACTAAAAACTTAAACATTAGCTGGGTGTGGCGGTCTGTGCTTGTAGTCTTAGCTACTTATGAGACTGAGGCGGGAAGATTGCTTGAAACTAGGAGTTCAAGGTTGCAGTGAGCTATGACCGTGCCACTGCACTCTAGTCTCAGTGACAGAGCAAGACCCTGTCTCTAAAAGAAAAAAAAAAGTAGATGAATGGATAAAGAAAAAAGAGGGGAATCCTATTATTTGCGACAACATAGATAAGCCTGGAAGACATCACATTAAGTGAAATAAGCCAGACACAGAAAGACAAATACTGCATCACCTCACTTATATGAAGAATCTAAAAACAGCTGAAGTTTTAGAAGTAAAATGGTGGTTACCAGGGGCTTGGGGGTGGGGAAAACGAGAAGATGTTGGTAAAGAGTACAAACTCTCAGTTGTAAGATGAAGTTCTGGGCCTGGCGGGGTGGCTCATGCCTGTAATCCCAGCACCTTGGGAGGCCGAAACGGGCAATTCACGAGGTCTGGAGACTGAGAACATCCTGGCTAACACGGTGAAACCCTGTCTCTACTAAAAATACAAGAAATTAGCCAGGCATGGGGGCAGGCGCCTGTAGTCCCAGCTACTCCGGAGGCCGAGGCAAGAAAATGGTCTGAAACCGGGAGGCGGAGCTTGTGAGAGGTAACAGTGTGCGGGCAGCACTCCCTCTCAGCGCCTCCTCTGCTTCGGTGCCCACTCTGGCCGCGCTTGAGGAGCCCGCCGCTGCACCGTGGGAACCACTCTCTGCATTGTCTGAGACCAGACCCGGCTCCCTCTATTTGCAGAGATGTGTGGAGAAACAGGGGCGAGCGGGAACGGAAAAGGCGTGGAGACAGACGCGCAGGCGAGAACCGGCTCGCGGGCCAGCGCAAGTTCCGGGTGGGCGCGGCCTCGACAGGCCCTGCACCGGGAGGGGCGGACAAGTTTCCCACCACTGCCGGCCCGCCCGCGCCGGCCCGTCCCCGGTGTCAGCCACCTCCCGACGGGGCAGGGCTCACAACCCACCCGCCATGCCCGAGGCCTACACCCCCCACCTTGGGCTCCCCGACAGATGCTCCCTGCCCCTCGCCACAGTATAGGAGTGGTGGGCAGCTCCGCCTGCAGCCCTAAAACGATCCACTGGGGGAAGTCAGCTGGGCTCCTGAGATGAGCGGGGACTTGGAGAACTTTTATGTCTAGCTGGAGGATTGTAAATGCACCAATCAGCACTCTGTGTCTAGCTCAAGGTTTGTAAACGCACCAATCAGTACCATGTCAAAGCGGACCAATCAGCTCTCTGTAAAATGGGCCAATGGGCTCGCTGTAAAATGGGCCAATCAGCTCTCTGTAAAATGGACCAATCAGCAGGATGTGGGTGGGGCCGGATAAGGGAATAAAAGCTGGCTGCTGGAGCCAGCAGCGGCAATCTAATTGGATAGTGTTGTTTTGTGAGGAATATGTGTTTTTTTTTTTTTTTCTCCTCCAGTGTGGGCAATATATTTTGCTGTAGGTGATTGGGTGTGTAGTGCACATATGAGCTGTAACTCTCACCTTAAAAATCTGTAGTTTCACTCCTAAGGCCTTTGAAACCACAAACCCACAGGGAGAAATGAGTAACTCCAGACAAGCTGCCTTGAGAGCTGTATCATTTATCACTTAAGTCTGAAGGAAAAAACTAAACCCATCCAAACAACAAACGGAAGAAACTGGACATACTGCTTTTAACACACGTGGGGAGGGTCTGTGGTTTCATTATTGAAGTCAGTGAGACCAAGAGTCCACCAATTCTGGTCAGACCTACAGTGAGTAGAGATCGTGTCTTTGCATTCCCGTTTGGGCTATGGCGCCAGATTGTCCAGAAGGAAAAAAAAGATGTTGTGATGCTTGTAGTTGCAGTGCAGTGGGAGACTATGGCAAGCGGATTGTGAGGTCAGGAGTTTGAGCCCAGCATGGTCAATACGGTGAAACCGTGTGTCAAATGAAAATACAGAAATTAGCTGGGTGGAGTGGTATGTGCCTGTAGTCCCAACTACTTGAGAGGCAGGTGAATTGCTTGAGGTTGGGAGGTGGAGGTTGCAGTGAGCTGAGATTACCATTGCACTCCAGCCTGGGCAACAGAGTGAGACTCCGTCTCAAAAAAAAAAAAAGTGTGAAGTTCTGAGGGTTTGATGTACAGCATGAATGGTGATACATTACTTCATTTGATTGTGGCAATCCTTGCACAATGCATATATGTCAAATAATTATGTTGTACACCTTAAATATGTTCAATTTTTGACAATTTTTTTTAAGCTTTGACATTAAAGAAAAAGTATGAAAAGGTGTCATCAGGGTTGTATTCCTTCTGGAGAATCTGCTTGCTTAACTTTGCTGGCTTATAGCAGCTTCCTGCACTTCACGGCCTTTTTTTTTTTTTTTTTTTTTTTTTTTTTTTGAGATAGGATGTCACACTGTTGCCTGGGTTGGAGTGCGGAGTGGAACCATCTCAGCTCAGTGCAATCTCTGCCTTCCGGGTTCAAGCAATTCTCCCACCTCAGACTCCCAAGTAGCTGAGATTATAGGTGCATTGCACCGCAACCAGCTAAGTTTTTGTATTTTTGGTGGAGACAGTTTCACTATGTTGCTCAGGCTGGTCTCAAACTCTTGAGCTTGAACGATCTGCCTGCCTTGGCCTCCCAAAGCATTTTCTTCCATCTTCTAAGCCACCAACATGACATCTTCAAATCTCTGTTGCCATCCTCGCATTTCCTTTTCTGACTCTGACCCTCCTGCGCCCTCTTAGAGGAACTCTTGTGATTTCATTATGCCCTTGGAGAACCCAAAATCTCAAGATCCTTAATCACATTCACAAAGTACCTTTTGTGATATAAGGTAACATTCACAGGTTCTGGGGACTGGGACATGGACATCTTCGGAGGGTCATCATTGACCTTTCCGTTTGTACCATAAGTACAAAGGGAAACAGTGTCACATAATAATTTCCTGTATGGCCAACTTTTTCTTGCCAATAGAAGGAAAGGAATTTGCTGATGCTGGTGTGAGTTCTTATTCTAACTCGCTAGATGTCATTCCAAATGCCTTTATCATTTTAAATACCAAATATATATGGCATTCCGAATGATGAGTAACAGGAGACTATAAATAGGCCTCAAAGGCTGGAAAGTCTTAACAACAGAGCAGGAAAGTCTAAAATTACTTAAAAATTATTAAAGTGCAGTCCCTTTGCTTAATTTTTTAAAAGTGTTAGGCCTTAGATGCTTAGGATAAAAAGCCATCACCATCTTGATATTCTCTCTACTTAAAGGAAATCCATGTCTTTTAAAATCAATGTCTTTAAAACCACTCATTCTTCATTAAATTGTTGATTTAACCAATCAGTGTCTACTGAGCACTCACAATGTGCTAGGCACTGCAGTGGGCACTGGGCATAATATTGACCAAAATCAATATGATTTCCGCCCTTATAAGCTTACAGTCTCGTGGGAGATAGGAAAAGCAAGGAAATTATTAGCACACTGTGCAATAAGCGTGTGATAGGAATGATTCTCACTGCCGTCCAGTTATACCCCAGTCTTAGTGCTGGGCACTGTCCCTTCCATTCCACCATTTCATTCCTGGGTGTCAGGGTCCCATCACCTTCTGTTGGAGGAAAAACTTAGGAGTATTCCAAGCGCTTGATAAATGGAAGGGAGCAGCAACCCACACATTTCAATGAGAAAGCAACAATTTACGTATTATAATGGAAACTGTCAAGGAGAAGATGCACCCTTTTGGGGTACTGTGTGGTATGCCCTAGAATGGCAATGAATGGTTAGCAGGCATTGGTTGGGCTTTAACATGAATCCTGGTGTTGTTCACTATACAGTTAGCGATTCTGATGCTTGCCCCACTGCTGTGTGTTTGTCCTGCTAGGTTGGCCTCTCATTCCCACTCCCACCTCCTCTAAGGCCATGCACTTCCCTCCCCCATCACGTTCCTGCTCCTCCACCCAATCTCCACTTACACGCAGGGTAGGGAGGGGAGGCTTCATTTTCTTTCATCCTCTTTCTTCTGTTATTTTTACGGTCTAAACTCTGTTCTCTGATTCCCTCAGGACATATCTTCAGATATTCAAAATCCTGTTTAGAAGTTTTTAAAAAAAGAAACACTGAACATTGACTGTTTCCTGCTTTTTAAATTCCTGCTTTAACAATCCTCCTTCTCCTCCAGGCAAAGTAGATGCCTCTGACAACGGAAAAGTCACGCAAGCACAAGGATGCTGGGAAAAGCAAAGCACAAAGGCTTATGTTTGGAGATATTATCAGGCGCTTACTGTTATGACAGGGGAAGTTCAGGATGCAAAGGGGCCAGAGGCACCGTCTCCAATCAGATCCCACAGGGCCTTGTAAGGAATGCTAAGAGAGCTGGTCTTCGCTGCGAGAGCGGTACAGAGCCACCTAATGGTCTTGAGCAGGGAGGTGTCAGGATCAGAT
This sequence comes from Homo sapiens, assembly GCF_000001405.40. NCBI lineage: Eukaryota > Metazoa > Chordata > Mammalia > Primates > Hominidae > Homo > Homo sapiens. The sequence continues at coordinate 17,012,508 of NC_000006.12, read as the reverse complement.
TTTCAAGTTAGAATATCAGTTTGGTAGCAGTGTGGAGAACAAGGAGAGAAAAGACTCAGGGTACGGAGAGCAGCAAGAACACAGATGCATACTTGAAGTGAGAAATGAGCGTGGCTTGCACTGGGATAATAGAGCGGGTTTGGAAGGGACTGGATGCTTTTGTGAGACATTTAGGAAGTCCAGTGGGCAAAGCTTAGTGGCTGGTTGAATGTGGGACATGGAGAAAGAAGAGGGGTCAAGGATGATTTCCCGGCGATTCCTTGAGAATGACTGAACTTCTTATTTATGTGAGACAAGGAGCATGGGAAGATGAGCAGGTGGGGTGGAGGAGGGGAGCCAAGAGAGTGAGTCCAGCTTGAGGCGTGTTGAATCTGGACACTCAAGTGGAGAAGTTAAATAGGCAGTTGGATATCAGATCTGGGGCTCAGAAATGAAGTTTGGGCTGAAAATAGAGACTTGGGATTCATCAGGGTAAAGCTGATAATTACAGCTACGAGCAAGATTGAGAATATTTAGGGAAATATTTTGAAAATGAGGGCATATAAGGGGACCAAGTCAGGACCTTGAAGAATATTGGTATTTTAAAGATAGAGAGGGAAACAAGTCTGCCAGGGAACCTAAAATGGAACTGTAGGCAGAGAACCAGGAGAGTGGCACGTTGCAGACTGTAAGGAAAAATGTGTGTGTGTGTGTTTGTGTCGTTTAAATGGGTATGGTAAACAACAACAAAAGCTGTGGAGAAGTCAGGAAGGAAAGAATATTATGTACCAGCAAGGTTATTAAGCAGTTTCAGAACCTTAGTGGGGCAGAAATCAAATCACGGTGGTTTACAAACTGAAGGGGATTTAAGAAAATGAGATCATTGATCATTAGAGAAATGCAAATCAAAACCGCAATAAGATACCATCTCACACCAGTCAGAATGGCTATTACTAAAAAGTAAAAAAATAACAGATGCTGGTGAGGTGTGATGGCTCATGCCTGTAATCCCAGCACTTTGGGAGACTGAGGTGGCCAGATCACTTGAGGTCAGGAGTTGGAGACCAGCCTGGCCAGCATGGTGAAAACTCGTCTCTACTGAAAATACAAAAATTAGCCAGGCATAGTGGCACATGCCTGTAGTCACAGTTACTCGGGAGGCTGAGTCAGGAGAATCGCTTGAATCCGGGAGGCGGGCATTGCAGTGAGCCAAGACTGCCTCACTGCACTCCAGCCTGGGCAACAGAACGAGACTCCATCTCAAAACAAAACAAAAACAAACAAACAAAACAGATGCTGGTGAAGTTGTGGAGAAAAGGGAAGACTTAAACACTTTTGGTGGGAATGTAAATTAGTGCAACAGTTGTGGAAAGCAATGTAAGCAGCATGGCGATTCCTCAAGGAGCTAAAAGCAGAACTAAATTCCACCCAGCAAACCTATTACTGGGTCTATACCCAGAGGAATATAAATCATTCTACCATAAAGACACATGCATGCGAACATTGATTGCAACACTTCACAAGAGCAGAGACATGAAATCAACCTAAATGTCCATCAATGACAAATTGGATAAAGAAAATGTGGTACATATATATACCATGAAATACTATACAGCCATAAAAATGAAGAAGATCATGCTTCTGTGGGAACATGGATGGAGCTGGAGGCCATTATCCTTAGCAAATTAATGCAGGAACAGAAAACCGAATACCTCATGTTCTCACTTATAAGCGGGGGCTAAATGATGAGAACGCATGAACACAAAGAAGGGAACAGCAGACACTGGCGTCTACTTGAGGGTGGAGAGTGGGAGGAGGGAGAGGAGCAGAAAAGATAACTATTAGGTACTAGATTTAGTACCTGGATGATGAAATAAACTGTACAACAAACTCCCATGACATGAGTTCACCTATGTAACAAACCTTTACATGTACCCCCCAACCTAAAAGTTTTTTTAAAAAAGAAAGAAAATGGGATCAGTGAGGGGAGACAGATTTTTCCAGAAGTATGGCTGAAAACAGAAGGCAAGAGTCGGAGGGCAGGGGTGGGGTGTATAATTTAAAGTGGAAGGAACAAATATTTCTAAATGCTATTAGAATTTGAAAAAATCAATGGGCATTTCTAAGCTAAACAAATTTCAGATTATACTTTTCCCAACTATTAAATATCCAAAATAATTTGATTCATGAGTAAATTATGTAGCTAAGTTAAATAAAACCTTTCTTTTGACTGAAATAGCCAGAAAATAAAATGAAGTTAACTATGAGGTGTTTTTTAATTGGTCTAGTAATTTTGAATATATTATGTGTTAAAAGAATGAGACAGTATCATTTCAAAGAATTCTTTCTGTTAAGATGTAATATGAAAATATCTAACATTCTTGATTTTGCTTTCTAATTGTTCTTGTATTGATATATGTATGTATATCATATGTACAACATAACATATATGTATATGTTATGACATTTGTACATACTTATGGGTTACATGTGATATTTTGTTACATACAATGTGTAGTAATCAAGGTAGAGTAATTAGCATATCCATCACCTCAAACATTTATCATTTCTTTGTGTTGGGAATATTTCTTTTTCTTCTTTTTCTTTTTTCTTTCTTTTTTTTTTTTTTTTGAGATGGAGTCTCTCTCTGTCACCCAGGCTGGAGTGCAATGGCATGATCTCAGCTCACTGCAACCTGCGCCTCTCGGGTTCAAGTGATTCTCCTGCCTCAGCCTCCTGAGTAACTGAGATTACAGGCACCCGTCACCATGCCAGGCTAATTTTTGTATTTTTAGTAGAGACGGGGTTTCACCATGTTGGCCAGGCTGGTCTTGAACTCCTGACCTCAGGTGATCCACCCGCTTCAGCATCCCAAAGTGCTGGGATTACAGGCATGAGCCACTGCACCCGGCCTGTTGGGAACATTTCAAATCTTCTTTTCTAGCTATTTTGAAATATACAATAAATTATTAACTATAGTCAACCTACTGTGCTATTGAACACTAGAACTTATTCTTTCTATCTACCTGTATGTTTGTATCTGTTAACCAAACTCTCTTCATCCCCCCAACCTCCACCACTTCCCCACACCCTTTTCAGCCTCTGGTAACTCTTGTTCTATTCTCTACCTCCACGAGATCCACTTTTTTAATTAGCTCTCACATGTGAGTGAGAAGATGTGATATTTGTCTTTCTGTACCTGGTTTATTTCACTTAACATAATGACCTCCAGTTCCATCCATGTTGCTGCAAATACAGGGTTTTATTCTGTTTTTATGGCTGAATGGTATCCCATTGTGTATTATACCATATTTTTGTATCCATTCACCCACTGATGGACACTTAAGTTGATTTCATATCTTGGCTACTTTAAATACTGCTGTAATAAACATGGGGGATGCAGGTATCCTTTTGATATACTGATTTTCTTCCCTTTAAATAAATATCCAGCAGTGGGATTGCTGGAATCTATGGTAGTTCTATTTTCAGTTTTTTTGAGAAACTTTCATTTTGTTTTTCCATAATAACTGTACTAATTTACATTTATAACAACAGTGTATGAGTTCCCTTTTCTCCGTATCCTTGCCATCATTTGTTATTTTTTTGTCATTTTGATAACAGCCATTCTTAATTTGGCTGAGGTGATATCTCATTGTGGCTTTGATGTGCATTTCACTGATGGTTAGTAATGTTAAGCATTTTTCCTATACCTGTTGGCCATTTGTATGTTTTCTCTTGATAAATGTCTGTTCAGATCCTTTACCTACTTCTTAATGGGATTTTTTTTTTCTGTTAAGTTGTCTGAGTTTCTTGTATATTCTGGATACTAGTCATGTGTCAGGTGAATAGTTTGCAAATATTTTTTATCATTCTACAGTTTGTCTCTTTGTTGATTGTTTCCTTTGCTGTGCAAAAGATTTTAGTTTAATATAATCCCATTTATCTATTTTTGGTTGCATTGCCTGTGCTTTGGAAGTTTTAGCCATAAAATCTTTGCCTAGGCCAATGTCTTGAAGTGCTTCTCCTATATTTTTTCTAGTAATATTATAGTTTTGGGTCTTACATTTAAGTTGTTAATCCATTTTGAAATTATTTTTGTATAGGGTGAGATACAGGGGTCTAGCTTCATTCTTCTGCATATAGATATCCAGTTTTTCCAGCACTCTTTATTGAAGAGGATGTACTTTCCCCAGAGTATGTTCTTGGCATTTTTGTCAAAAATCAGTTGGCTGTAAATACTGAATTTGTTTCTGGGTTCTCTATTCTGTTCCATTGGTTGATGTGTATGTTTTTATACCAATACCATGCTGTTTTGATTACTATAACTTTGTGGTATATTTTGAAGTCAGGTTGTGTGATGCCTCCAGCTTTGTTCTTTTTGCTCAGGATTGCTTTGGCTATTTGGGGTCTTTCGTTGTCACTTCTAGAATATTACCGTTCTCTCATCTTCTTTAAAAACATGCTATGGGGTTGATAATAAGCTGCTGTAACACTCTCCGCCCTTCCTTTTCCCTGATGTCAACTGAGTTCTGGGTCACATGCCCATAGTGTTTCATTTCTTCCATTCAGCCTATAGTAATTGATATTCGCTTAGGCTCTGGGTTGCTTATGCTGCTTTCCTTCTTAGTCAACCTCTCCAGGTGACTTATCATAAGATCTGGTTAAACCAGCATTGTTTTTATTTCATAAAGTGTCTCTCAAAGAGCTAGTTTTAGGAGAGGAAGAAGTTGGTTCTTGGTGCTTTATATTCAGTCTTTGGTTTCCTTACAGAAAACCTTTTAAAATACTGGTCAAAATTCAAAGACTTATTTAGTCAAAACTGGTAATATAATCTGTAAATGCTTCATGTGGGCTGAGATAAACTGCCTTTCATCATCATCTTGAGAAAATGAGAGTGGTTTCTGCTCTCAAATCTGCATTCAGGAAGCCCACTTTCTTCTCAGAATATCTTCCTATCTACACGTGACATGTGACTGTCTGATATGTGGCTCAAGCAAAGACATAGTCTCCATCATTTTCCTAACTATTAGTAGTGAATAACGTCTTTATCAAAAATTTTAGATAAATATAAGTACAACTTTATGTTAATAAAACTATAAGAAAAAATGATACACATATTGGGAATAAAGAAGTCAAATGATCTTTACTTGCAGATAACATGATGGTTTATAAAGAAAATGCCTTAAAAATTTTACAAAACAACTATAGATGTTTCTTGACTTATGGTGGGGTTACATCCTGATAAACCCATCATAAATTGAGAATACCGTTAGTCAAAAATGCATTTAATACATCTAACCAACCAAACATTATAGCTTAGCCTAGCCTACCTTAAATGTGCCAAGAATACTTATTAACCTAGAGTTGAGCAAAACCATCTAACGCAAAGCCTATTTATAAGAAAGTGTTGAGTACTTCATGTACTTTATTTAATGCTATACTGAAAATGAAAAATAGAATGGATGTATGGGTACTTGAAATACAATTTCTACTGAATGTATATTGCTTTAGCACTATTGTAAAGTCACAAAATCATAAGTCAAATCATTGTAAATTGGATATAATCTGTACTAGAATAAGTAAATTTAGCAAGGTCACAGTGAGAGTTGAAGCCAGCTGAGCTTCTGGGTCGGGTGGGGACTAGGAGAACTTTTATGTCTAGCTAAAAGATTGCACATGCACCAATCAGCACTCTGTGTCTAGCTAAAGGATTGTAAATGCACCAATCAACACTCTGTAAAAACGGACCAATCAGCACTCTGTAAAATGGACCAATCAGCAGGATGTGGGTGGGGCCAAATAAAAGAATAAAGGCTGGCCACCTGAGCCAGCAGCAGGAACCCAGTCGGGTGCCCTTCCATGTAGTGGAAGCTTTTTTCTTTTGCTCTTCACAATAAATTTTGCTGCTGCTCTGTTTTTGGGTCTGCACTACCTTTATGAGCTGTAACGCTCACCCTGAGTGTCTGCAGCTTCATTCCTCAAGTCAGCAAGACCACGAACCCACTGGGAAGAACAAAGAACCCCGGACATGCCAATTTTTTTTTTTTTTTTTTTTTTGAGGTGGAGTCTCACTCATGTTGCCCAGGCTGGAGTGCAGTGCCACGCTCTTGGCTCAGTGCAAGCTCCACATTCTGGGTTCAGGCCATTCTCCTGTCTCAGCTTCCCGAGTGGCTAGGACTATGGGCACCTGCCACCATGCCTGGCTAATTTTTTCTATTTTTAGTAGAGACGGGGTTCGGACACGTGACTTTTAAGAGCTGTAACACTCACTGCGAAGGTCTGCCACTTCATTCCTGAAGTCAGCGAGACCATGAACCCGTCAGAAGGAAGAAGCGCTGGAACATCTGAACATCTGAAGGAACAAACTCCGGCCATACCATCTTTAAGAACTGTAACACTCACCAGGAGGGTCCACGGCTTCATTCTTGAAGTCAGCGAGACCAAGAACCCACCGGAAGGAACCAATTCCGGACATAACAGGGTCCATGATCAATATGCAGGAATTAACTGCATATACATAAAATATTAGGTTGGTGCAAAAGGAAATGCAATTCTTGCCATTACTTTTAACGGAAAAAAATGCAATTACTTTTCCACCACCCTAATAACAGCAAACACTAGAAGAATGAAAAATGTTTTAAAGTAATTTGAAACAGATTTCTAAAACTGTAAAATATTAAGGGGTAAAGTCAGTGAAAGACAAGATCTCCACCCTGAAAACTACAGAACATTTATAAGAGAAATTAAAGAAATCAAAATATATACCATGTTCATAAATAAGATTCAATAGTCTTAAGATGTCAGTTATCCTCAAGCTTATCTGTGGATTTAATACAGTCTGTCAAAATCCTAAGACATTTTGTAGAAACTGAAATGCTTGACTGGATGCGGTGGCTCACCCTTTAATCCCAGCACTTTGGGAGGCCAAGGCGGGCAGATCACGAGGTCAAGAGATCAAGACCATCCTGGCTAACATGGTGAAATCCCATCTCTACTAAAAATACAAAAAATTAGCTGGGCGTAGTGGCGGGTGCCTGTAGTCCCAGCTACTCAGGAGGCTGAGGGAGGAGAATGGCGTGAACCTGGGAGGTGGAGCTTGCAGTGAGCCGAGATCGCACCACTGCACTCCAGTCTGGGTGACAGTGCGAGATTCTGTCTCAAAAAAAAAGAAGGAAACTGAAGAGCTTATTCTAAAATTTATCTGGGAATGTAAAGGGCCTTGGGTAGTCAAAATTGTCTCAGAGGAAAAAAAAAAAAGAACCAAGCTGGAACCAAGTACATAATTTAAAGGCTCATTATTAAGTTCTATAATCAAGACAGTGTGATATTGGTGTAAGGATGTACAAACAGATCAGTGGAATACAATAGAGTTCACTCATAAACCCATACATTTATGTTGAAATTATTTTCAACAAGTATGTCAGGAGAATTCAATAGGGAAAGTGAAGTTGCTTTTTTTTTTTCCAACAAAATAGTTCTGAAACAATTGAACAAATGCATGGGGTAAAATCAACTTAAACCACACCTTCTACCTCACAAAAGTTAACTTGAGATAGATCGTAGACTATATTTAAAAGCTAAAACCATAAGGATTCTAGAAGAAAACATAGAATAGTATCGTTGTGACCTTGGGACAGGGATATATTTCTTAGAAAGCACAAAGAAACACTAAAACTAACAGAAAAAATAATAATAAATTGGACTTCAGAAAAATGGTTAAAAGTCACTGTTAAGAAAATGAATCAACAAGCCACAGACTAGGAGAAGATATTTCTAGTACATATATCTGACAAATACAGGCATCCAGGATACACAAAGTTAAGACAATGTTGAGTTATCAGACCAACAGGTTCTGTGAGAACATGATAAATTTATCTGCAAATAGGTATGATGACCATCCCATGACACCCTGAGGCCAGCTCAAGGGCCCCAGTGGAGGTTTCTAGCAAGAGTATCCTTTCCCAGATACAGACATCCCAGAAAATGATTGCAACACTTTCCCAGTTCGATTTATTCACCAAAATATAGTTAGTAAAATCTTCCCAGAGAACTTTTGTAAGCCAACTTGTAACAGTGTATTTTCATGCAATATCCAGTTTAGCTAAACTCTCTGATTTTGCAACTGCAGAAAACCCTGGAGGATTTGGGAAACTGCTCCAGAAGGTTTTTGAAAATCCTATGTGTGGGTGGGTAATCAGGGCTGTGGTAATTTAATTCAATAAAGGATAATTATAGAAAGTTATCAGAGTCAAAGAATCTCAGAAGGAAACATTTATACAGTCTCTTTTCTCAGAGAGCTGTGCTTCAGAGAATTGGTTGGTGAGTCTAGTTGGAAGGTTTATATGAGTGAATTTCTGCCTTCAAGTGCACAGTTTTCTGAGGATGAAAGTAGAATGCACTATGGTGAACTAAGAGGATTATTTTAATGCTATAAATGAACATTTTAGCTAATCAAGCATTGTGCACTGGTGAGAAGAGTTTAAATTCTGAGGTCTCAATCAAAGTATTGGAAAGGCTTTCACTCTCAGATTACAGCCAAAAGAATGCCATTTTTCCTGATTATTAAAGCAATATTTGCATATTGTAGAGATTTTGTAAGGCTTTCAAAAATCCTTGCTTTATTTTTAAAGCATGACAAAATCAGAAGGAAAAAATTGCTTACAATTCCACATTCAATTTTTCTTACTCATATTATCGTAGTTTAGACCATTTTGTATGTTGCTTTTTTCTCCTAACATCATATATAAGCATTTCTCTATATTTAAAGTTCTCCACAAATGATTTTTTTCTTTATCTCCCTATTGGTGGATATTCAAGTTGTTTCCACTTTATCTTTCTTTATTCAATAATGAATCATGTTATGATGAACATCCGTGTGCATTAATATTTTATCTATTTCAGAACGTATTTTTAGTCTTCTACTCTGAAGTTGTATTACTGTGTCAATGGAAATGAAAAACTTCCAGGAGCTCAATGTTCCATCAGACTGTTTCCAAAACTGTTGTACCAAGCTTCCATTTTATGAGTGCCCTAAGATTGCCTTTTCCACTATACCTTTGTCAGCACTTGGCATTCTCAGTTTAGAATCTTTGCCAATTTCAAAGGTAAAAAACACTCTCTCTTTGGACCTATTATTTAGAAATTAGTAAATTCAATTAATTTTTGCTTATTTTAGTGGCTCATTTCCCAACTTAGGATATATTTATTCTTAGTTGAAAAAGACATGAAAAGAAAAACTTCCCTCCAATTGTCAATTGCCCCCCACCCCGCGAATCATTTCTGATCATCTTTCCTGCTCTTTCATACTAACATTCCACTTTCCTCCTCCCAATTATGAAGGCTGATTACAATGTCCACCAGATGTTGATGTGGCTGTTGGATAGGATCGTGGGGGAAGGATAGATGCAAGAAGTTGCCTTTAGCTGTTTTCATGTTTGAACCAGAAGACTGGTTCAAAACATCCCTATAACATGGATTGAATACTATCTATTTTCTAAAATTATCAGAATAGCCTGAATCTGACTTCTGAGAGCCTGTGACCTGGGGTTCAGCTTCACATCACTTCTTGTGACATTATCAGTTTACTGATTATTGACTTGGCATGGTTAGAAGACCTGGCATTCCATATCCCCAGAGGCATACTTCTTCTCCACGTTTCTTTTGGCAGACAGCTAGACCATTTTTGAGCATCTAAATCTTGAGGATACAAAAACATCAATTTCTTCCTCCCTTAAAACCTGTATTCGCTCAGGTCTCTGTAGTACAAGAAGAACAACCTAAGAATGGGGTAGGGCACACTGGCTCAGGTGACCCAATTAGTAGCAGTTATTTGGCAATAGAATTTTATTGTTTTAATAAAAGGGCTACACTACGGAGAGTAAGAGGGAAGTGGAGAAGTAGATGGATAGAGACAGAGAGAGAGAGAACCCCAAAGAGATAAACAGAACTAGAGAGAGAGAGAGAGAGAGAGAGAGAGAGAGAGAGAACAGAAAAAGACACACAGAGACAATCAGACACAATGAGAAACAGATTGTGTCTGCCTGTCTCTGAGAAACAGAGAGAAACACTAATGTGTAACAGGGGATTTAACTTTTAAATATGCAGTGCTGCTGTCCTAAAATATACCTTTGCCTGCAAGGCTGCTGCAGGTTCATTTCAGCACTTGGAAAAGCTGGCCTGATTTGCACAGTCTCTCAGAGGTTCCCCACTGGGTCTCTGCCCAGGAGTCTGTCTCCTTGTTGATGACTACCTTCAGGCAGATAACTGCTTCTAGGTGAAAGGACATGAGGCATCCAACTATTGAGCTGATGATTCCATTAGATTATTCTACAATAATTAAGTCGCAGAGTAGAACTCAGGGTGAGGAAGTAAAATCCATAGATAAGAAATGAAAAGACAGTGTTTTCGTTCTTTCTTTTTCCTTTCTCAGCATATTATGTCTCTAATATTTTCATTCTTCAGATAACTAGAAAGCCTTAGGGACTCCTAGGAAATAGTGAATAATTAATAATGAGGAATTCAGATCTTTCAGTCAATGAGTGAGACCAGAAGACTTGAAGGCTGTTCTTTGGTGGAAGGTCTCCCTAAGGTCCTCCACTGAGGTGGTCCTGTTTGCCAGCCTCTGCAGATTTCAAGATGAGACACATGTAATAATTACGTCAGATATTGCTGCTGAGCCTGTGGGTTGCAGCTTTTGGAAGAGCAGGTGGGCAGTGTACTCTGTGAAGTGCTGATGGTCCATTCTCAAGGGAAACACCTGGAAAATGTTGCAATGGAGTAGAGAAGGAAAATGAGCTCCGGGAGGATTTCATCAGAAATTCACAGTTAAATATATTTGTATTGATTTGATATAGGATTGGGGGCTGAAGATCCCAATGTGCAGTAGAAAGAAGATAGGTAAGTGTGGGAATTGCCCTAAATTCCTCCAAATTGCTAATACTCCCCATAGAAATAGACTGTGCAAGACAACAATACAACCTTTGCTTGTTGATGTTAACCTATCTCAGATGAAGGCTGACTTGCTTGGGGCTTTTGTAAAGAAGCTCTTGCAAGACTAAGTGTGTGATCATTTCCTTGTCATCACAGATTTGATCCAATCTTTTTATTGCCCTTGAGATTTGGGGACTTTAGAGTGTGCTGGTCCATGCCTTGTTCAGCAGATGGAGCTCTATAACTATGCAGGAAATGACATATCTAGGCGGGGACCCTTTTTTTAAAAAAAAATTCAAAAGAGATGATCAGACTTTGAGAGAGCTGAACACCATGGACTATGGTGGTAGAATTGTTCTTATGGAATTTTCTCAGAAGGAAGTGATTCTTGATGTGTTGCTTCTGAAAAGTGTGCAAACACAGCAAAAGTTAATGGTAAACATTTCCGTTTTACTATGATGGCTATTCTTTGCCATTATTCGAGGTCAATTAGATTTGATCTAGGGGGTTGGATTTGTTAATGTTATAAGCACATGTGGCACTGGTAATAATTACAACTTGCTAAGTAAGCAATGGGGAATTCATTGTTTAGCTTAGAACCACATCATCATTTCTCTTGATTTGTTCATTAGGTCCCAAGGTTCTAGCTCCATTAAGTTCTCAGAACTTTTATCTGTTCACTCACGTTTGCTTTCTCAAAGCAACTTAAAAAATATTTTGGCCAGGTGCCGTGGCTCACGTCTGTAATCCTAGCACTTTGAGAGACCGAGGTGGGCGGATCACGAGGTCAAGAGATCGAGACTATCCTGGCCAACATGGTGAAACCCCGTCTCTACTAAAAAAAATTTAGCTGGGTATGGTGGCATGTGCCTGTAATGCCAGCTACTTTGGAGGCTGAGGCAGGAGAATCACTTGAACCCGGGAGGCGGAGTTTGCAGTGAGCCGAGATCACGCCACTGCACCCCAGCCTGGGAGACAGAGAAAGACTCTGTCTCAAAAAAAAAAAAAAAATTCTTTCTTAAAAAGGTAACTTTCCTCAAATATGTCATATTTAATATAAACTCAGATAAAAGTGTTTGTGATCAAACAAAAATGCCAATAACAAATGTGTTAAGAAGAAAACAGACATCCATGTCATCTTCTCCACTACTCCTACTGAAATGCTGAAAATTCTATAAGAAATACTTGAAATCCATAAGACTTCAGTGCCCAGACACCATTCTGGCCATAGAGTTTATGCTTAGTTGAAGTTAGTTGATGAATGAATAGTTGTCTAGGTGAGTAGATGGACAGAAGGATGGATGAATGGTTGGACTGATGGACAGATGGATAGATGGATGGATGAATGGATGGATGGATGAACAGATGGATGGATGGACAGATGGATGGATGGATGGATGGATGGGTGGATGGATGGATGGATGAATGGTTGGCTGGCTGGCTGGCTGGCTGGTTGGATGGATGGATGAAGGAAGAAAAGAAGGGAGGGTGAGAAGGGTGGATGGATGGGTGGCTCAAGGTTTCTGTGATCTTTGCTGAAATTTGTCCATGGTGCAGGACTGTTATTGGTGCTTCCAGAAAAGTACACAATGATTACTTTATGGAGCTTGCTAAGAAAACCTAGCCAAAATAAATCTTGTTTTACTTCCCTCCATAGTTTAAAAGGTGCTATATAGCATATTTTGTCTCTAAAGTCTGCAGACTTCTAAATTAATCAGAAATAATAGACAAATAGTGCAGTAACATTTTTATTTTCTTCAGCACAGCAGAAACAAGAAAGTAAATTTTGGAACTGGTATAAACTAGTTTTTATGAATTTGAGACTTGCCTGCAGAATATTTGCCAAGAGTTGAGTAAGACTAGAATGATGAAGTGTGGTATTTGTTCAGTTCAACAAACAGTAATTGAAAACGTACCATGTGCCAGGAAGTATACTAGGCATTGGGAGACTAAAAGTGAATAAATCCATTTCTGACTCTGAGGATGACACAATCTCATGGAGCAAGTGATATAAATAGACGATTTTGGTACACCATGGTAAAGTGATGTGATTACCACTAGTATCAGAAGAGGAGGACTACATTATAATATTCTTGAAAGCAAAGATTACCTTATTAATCTTTATCCCCAAGTGCCTAGCAGAGTGTCTGGAACATGGCAGGGGCTGTATACATATTATTGAATGAATGAATGAAATCTTGGGGTTGAAAAATGTCTTGAAGGAGACAATCCCTAGAACATCAACAACAATAAACATAATGAAGATCATGAACAGTACTCATTGAAAGCTCATTATGTGCAATGCATAAAATACTAATTCATACCATCACAATAAGTCTAAGATAGATGCAATATTTAGATAGAATATCCGCATTGTACTGAGAATAAACAGATACGAATTCCCAGCTACTAAGTGTTAAGGCCAAGATCAAATCCAGCACCCTCCTGAAATATGGAGGGGCATTTAGGCACATGAAACATGAAGCACAAAGACAGAACAGTGAGACGTCAACATCTGCAGCAATGTAGTAAGGAGCTTGGATTTTATGCTGTAGGAGATCAGAAAGCACTGAATCGTTCGATCAAAGAAGTGACGTGGTTAGATATGCGTTTTAGCTAGGTCATTCCAGTTGCTGGTTGGGGGCTGGGTGTAATCCTTCAGAGTAAGATTGGAGGAGTGCTGAAGGATAAAAAGAGTTCACCTTATGAAAGATGGGGGGGCAAGGGAAGGGTTTCAGGCAAGGGGCAGAGGATGTGCAGAGGCTGGGAGATGAGAGTAGACATTCACAGTGAACCTGGAGTATTTAATCTGGCTGTAGCATAAATCCCCAGAGTAAAAAGAGATAAAGGTAATGAGAAATGATGTCAAAGAAGTAAATGGGAACCATATTGAGGAGTTTGGACTTTATCCAAGAAAAAAAGTGAGACCGCTAAAGAGTTTTTAAGCCTAAGGGTGAGATGATTATGTGTATGTTTTAGAAAGAGCCCTCTGTTCGGTGGAAAATAGACCAGAAACTGGAAAGATTGCGAACAGGAAAATGTGTTTGGAAGCCCTCACCATAATCTAAACAGGAGATGATGGCAATCTGAAATAGAGCAGCCGTGTTCAAGAGCTATTTAAAGGATGAAATCGACAGGATTTTGAGTGAGTGATCATCAAGGAAGGAAGTAATACGAGAAAGTAAGAAGCAGAGTCATCGTAGGTCCTTCTACTTAGAAGTGGAAGATATCTCACAGGGTTTTGGCTTGATCAACAGAATGGATGCCAATCACTGAGATAGGAAATGAGGGAGAATGAGCAGGTATCTGGGTGATCCAGAGTGGCGAGGATAAATTCTGGACATATTAAGTGCCTGGGATTAGAGGACAATGGGAGTCTTGAAGCTCACGTGACATGTCTGGGATAGAGATGTAGCTTTAGAAGTCATTCGTGTAAAATTAATAGTATTAGATGCAATGAACACTTTTGAGCAGCTGTTACAGATGAGGAAATGCTCTGGGACATTCTGTCTTTAGGACGAGGGGATTCGTGAACATTTGGAGCAAATCAATTAATCAAATATTTTCAGTGTGCCTACAACTGAGTAGATGAATATTTCGAGTACAGGGCTGGTTAGTGGGAAGCTTCTAAGTAGGACACATAACTGGTTGTAACTGGGGTTGCCACTGGTGCCTGGGGGCATAGGGTCATGTTACTTATAGAAGAATGTTAGACTTGGTTGCCATCATGAAGGAGATTATTGTCTAGTGAGATACAACTAACTGTCCAACTAACTATTGTCTAGTTAGTGAGATACAACTAACACAGAAGAAACAATAAAAATAATGCATTTATTTTTAAAAGGATACATTTATGTATGCTAAGTTGGCAGTACAAACTAAGGGTGTTTTAGAATTTCCAAACACGGAGGGAACACTGTGGGCTGGAATAGTGGCAGACATTTGTTAACTTGGCATTGCATTTTCCTGGAATGTTTTTGGGAACAGGAGTAGATGGGCCTGAATGAGCAGTTCGTTTGCATGGGTTGTATGAGCCCTCACACTGCTATACCCTGTTTTGCCTCATCTCTGGACAACTCAGGTGTATCAGCGTGCATATCGTTTCTCTAGCTAACAAAGTTGAAGAGATCACATGGCAAGCTTCAGAGAGGTGATGGACCTGGGCATTTTGGAATGGGCATCCCAGGCTTGGCAAACACGATGGGCAATGAGCATATGAGTGGGCTGAAAATGAGTCTGGCAAATATGAGAAGCATTGAGGAGACTGTTAAGTACCTGAAGGCTTGTGTTGAGCAACGACAAGGGGCTCTTAGCTGGAGCTCTCTTTCTGCCTCACTTAGCGAGCTCCAGCTCATCTTCAAGACCTCTCCAATTGTCACTACCTCCATAAAACTTTCTGTGATTCTTCTGGGCAGTCAGGCTGTCCTCTCTATGTGCTTCCAAGGCATTTGATTACACCTCTTATTGTAGCATCAATCACACTGCTCTGAACTTGTTCACAAGTCTGTCTCCTCCATAGACTATGAGTTCCTTCGGGGATATAAACTATGTCTCTTTTTTTTTTGCCACCCCAGGCTCCTAGTACAAGGCACTATAGAAGAATGTTGATTAATGTTAGCAGATAAAAGATTTAAATAACAGATATGGTAGGACTTAGCTCTTCTCCAAATAGGTTTACTCACTGAACTCAGAACAATCTTCTGCCCTCTTCACATTGACACTGTTCCTCTCTTAACTCCTCTCTTGAAGTCCTGTGCATTCTTCCAGGTACTGCTCAAAGCCTATAGCTTCTGTGCAGCCTTCCATGACATGGAACACACCCCCTTGTCAGCAATCTTTGGCTCCTCTAAACTCAGAGGCATACTCTCCTAGACCTCAATTCCACTATTTTATAGCTGAGAAAATGGAAACCTGCAAGTGTGGGATTGGAGTCATCCAGAAGTTACGAGAGCACAGCTCAGTGAAGCTGCCTTTCTATTGTCCAGACAAAGATGGACACAGCTGAACGACTGAAGTGATCTTGAGATCTTCACGGGGATCTTTTCTGTGCAACGGCACCCCCTGTCTCCGTAGGGTTTGGTTGTATTTCAATGTGATTGTGCATCAAGTCTTCCAGCCCAGCCTATGCTTTCCGTGTTCTGTTTTGTGATTACAGTGGGTAAACCCATGCCTAAGGGGAATATACTGACATCTTCTTTCCAGATATTGCTGACCTTCTTGCCTGGATTTCTAAGCACAGCCAAACATTAATAACGCCACTTTTTCATTAGCACGTTCTTAGCAGAGCACTACATTAGGTAAACCTGAATAAAAGTGCCAGGACAAAGAGTTCAAATGCTTCGGGGTCTCCATGTAGCTGTTCTACCTGTAGTTAAACAAAAAGGAATGATCATTGCTTTCTTCCTCTGGGGAGCTTTCACCCATTTTAAAGTGGGCCAGTAACTCCTCGAACAAAGAGGAAGCAACCCATATTTAAAGCAGTGTCTGCTTGTTTCTGTTTTAGCCATTTTGGCAAACTCCTTGAAAAATGAAATCTTTGGGCCTAAACTCAGTTAAATCTCAGATGCATTTACCGTGCCAAGATAATTCCAGTTTAGCATCACCTCACATTATTTAAAGCTGTGACTGAGGAAGTATCCATAGCGGACATTGAACAGAAATGGCTTGACATTTTGCATATTATTTGTGTTTTGTTGTTGTTGTTGTTTACTTGCAAAGGTGGGCTTGGATATCAAAATATATGGCAAATGGGGCAGAGGGAGAAAAAGTAATTCATTGGTTTATCCTTTCAACAAATATGTTCCATGCATTTTGTTCCAGATACGGTATCAAGTGCTAGAAATAAAGAGATAAGCATGACCTAATCTCTGCTCTTGATAAGCTCATGGGGATACAAAGATTTATAACCAAGACGAGAAGCCCTAAAAATATAAAGTGCTAAGTGCTATATGCAGAGGCACTGATAATGGACCACCTACACTTCTATGGGAGGAATCATTTCAGCTGGAACTTAAAACGCAAGTGAAGTTTGCTCAGGGAGAAGAGAATTCTGGGCAGAGGAAAGAGTTTGGGTGAAGATAGAGAGACAGGAAAAGGCAGGGAGTATTCTAGAAGCAAGAAGTGATCGTAGGATGTAGGATGTTAGGGAGGCATCAGGCACATAAGTTGAGTCAGACACAAAAAGTCCTGAAAAACCATAATAAGGACTTGAGATTTATCCTGTAAGCACATGGAGGTATCCCTGATATCAAACAGGCAAGAAGGTCAGCAATATCTAGAAAGAAAGTGTCAGTGTACTTCCCCCTAGACAGAGGCCTACCACTGTGATCGCATTCCCTGTTTTTGAAAGAGAACACTGGCTGCAATGTGGACAATCTCTTGAACATGAAGACCAGGAGCAAGTTTGGGAGACTATCACGAATATCAGGGGAGAGATGATGGGAGACTAGATGAATGCAGTTGGCAGTGAGGAAGGAGAGAAGGGACCATTCCAAGAGAGATTTTGATGGTAAAACTGACAGGACTTAGTCTGATTGAATTTAGTTGGAAGGTGGAGGAGGCATCAAGGATGACTCTGAATTCCCACTTGGATGACTGTGGGATGCTGATAATAGGATACAGCAGAAGCCACTTGGGCTGGAGTTGGGGGAATGAAGGGTGAGTGAAAGGAAGGTAATAAGTTTGGTTTTGAACATGTCAAGTTCGATGTGTCTACAGAGCGTGTTGGTCAGTGGGACACAAATGTATCTACCTGGTCTCCCCAGACCTGTGGACTCAGCATGTTTGGTAAACAAGAGAGTTTCAAAATGGCTCCCTAAGTAAATTTAATAAGTTCTTCCCATCTCATCATTTATGTAGGTGGTTTCTAAGGTGCCCTTAGAATAAAATCCTTGTGCTCTACCATGGTCGAAAAATCCCCATGGGACCTGGCCCCTGCTTACCTCCTGACCCACTCCACTTGAGCCCCACTGGTCTTGTTTCTGTTCCTGAAACACCTGAGAGCTCTTCCTTATCTTAGAACCTTTGCATATGTTGTTGCTGCTAACCTTCCAGATCTTTTCATTTATGACTCCTTTGTATCATCATGATCTCAGCTTAAAATGATCTTTTCAGAGAGGCCTTCTCTGTCTACCCCACCTAAACTAAATGACCCTCTTTAGATCATGACGCATAACTCTCTTTATTGCCATTACAGAACTTTTATTATAAAATTATGTTGTTTATAATTTGGGATGCTTTTGAGGGGGCTGTGTTTTATTCCCCAACCTGACCCCTCTCCATGGATTCTCCATGAGAAGAGGGGTCCTGTTATCATAGCTCTAGCACCTAAAACAGTCATCAAAACATAGTAGGTGCTCAATAAATATTTGCTGAAGGATCTAATAAAGGAAGTAAGAAGGAAGGTAGGAAGGAAAGCAAGAGGAAGGCACTATGGGAGCCCAGAGCATTGCATCTGACTCAGACCACGGGAACCAGGGAAGTCTTATGAAAGAAGTGAGGTTGGACCAAGTCATGAAAAATAAGATACCAGCTAGACTGCGAGAATGAACCACTTTAGCTGGAATGGGCAGAGATGAGGCTGAGAGATGTCCAAGGGCCGGTGGTTGGATCCTTCTAGAAAAGACCACACAGCATCCTTTAGTGGCTGAAATGTGATGTCATAGATCTGTATTCTGGCAGATCTATTACTGGTTCCTGCTTCAGCAATCTTCTGCAGATTTGACATGACATGCCTTTATGTCACTTCTTCTCATATATTTCCCATCCTGGTTTCTCCTGTTAAATTTCTGTAAACTCCATGTATGCAATTAGAAGAGGTAATTTGAAGAAAGGAAATAAGAAGGGAAGTTCCAAAAAAAATCCTTTTTTTTTTCTTTTTGTCACTGCCTCCGGGAGCCTTGTCTCTGCTGAGAGAACAGGGCTCTGAGTGCTCGGTAGTGTTGTCTGTTGTTAGAATGAGCCACTGCTGTGTGCTATTTGTGCGAGATGTTGGCAAGAAGAATGCCGAGTGACTGCTGTTTCTCCGGGCCCCTCCAGAAAATGAGATGCCTGTCTCCCCAGGCCACTCAAGAGAGCCAAATTCTAAATAAAATAGAGCTGCATCTTCATGCAGACTGTTGTGTACGCTGCATTCAAAACACTTGTTTCTGCTAGTTTCTTTAACCAGTTTTCAGAGCTTGCATGGTTTTAGAACTTTCCTTACTTGCTTCCTGTGTCCTCATCTCATCCCCCTTTTCTATCTGTTTTCCTTTAACTCCACATCAGAAATAAAAACTGCACAAATTTAAAATCATTTAGTTGTAGACATGAGGATTAAACAGACAGGCATACATTTGAGAAAATAAGAGTGAGCATTGCTCTCAGCTTTTCTCAAAACTTCAGTTATTGACATGTCAATATATTGATATATAACCAGGGTGGCCTTTTCCCTAGGCAAGTGTCAGCACCATTACTATTTTTCCTTGAATAGGCTTACTTTTTAAATTTTTACTCATGTTAAGCATAGAAAGTCATGAATAAGATGCTTTATTTATAATTGTTTAAATGCATATTAAAATAAATAATCAACTATTGAAATGAAAAATATCCATCCTTTACCAACTAAACTCATCTCAAAAAGGTTCCAGAACTGGGGAGATACTGGCCCAAGGCTAAGACCTGAGCAATTTGCATCTGCAAGGGCAGATCTCATTGCTCCTGAGAATTCAGACCCAACCCCAAGATTTCATGGGACTTCTCTAGGCATGTTTGCCCCTTTTTAATTGGGGTCCAGTTCTATAGAATTCTAAAGAGTGCTCTGCAGGTTGATCAATTAGTTAATATTCATAATCATCCTTTGCAATTTATAAGAGTCAAAGGCATGCTAAGTATCATGATTCTGAAAACACTTTCTAAGCAGCAGTCTTCCTTTATGTCTAAAAGAAGAAAGTTCTCTTTTAGACCTGTAGAAATCTGTCCCCTCCATAATGTCACCTCCCCTTCCCTTCTCCTGCTAAATGTTTTGTAGTCTCCTTGGTTTTGTGGCTTTTATCCGTGGTCTTTCTAGTTTTTCCTTTGGGGATCCACAGTGCAGCTCATAGCAGTGGAGTTTGTCATCTTGCATTTGCTCTGAAAGTGTTCTGCATGTTTTGCAACATTTGTACATATCCATATCTAGCTTTGGAAAGGAATGAGGTGTTCCATACCAACGAGTCTTTAGATAATTAAAGCTTATCTTCTGTCAGCTCCCAAATATTTTTAAAAATCCAAACCATTTTGATCAAAATCTTTCTAACTATATTACACACTTGACTGCTTTCTTATACAAACATAATATAACTTCACCCAGGGAGACAACAACATGTGTATGGTAGAAGGCACATTTTACATCAGCCTGCATCTGTTTCTACTGCTGGTTTTCTCTTTGACCCAAGAGTGACACCATTGCGTGTTAATTAGGTCAATTTTATTGTTCTGACTCCCAGTTCCTGTCTTCAAGGAGCTCATAGTTTTATTGGGGAAGAGGATATGTAAATATATCAAAGAGACAATTAGTGATAAACATCTTGAGGCTCTAACACAGAGGATCAAGGACAAGTCATGGCCTTATTTGGTCAGAGAGAATGAATGGCAAAAATAAAAGGATGCCTGAACTGCATCTTAAAAGATGAATAGAAGTCTATCTTAAGGACCAGAAAGGTAAATGTATTTCAGAAGAGGGAGCAGTAAAATCAAAGGCACAGAAGCTTGAAAGGGTGTGATACCCTGGCTGACATGTCAGTGGGTAGTTTTGTGCGGCTAAAAGGAAGGTGAACAGAAGAACCGGTGAAAAGGAGGCTGATAAAAATCTGCAGAGACCAGATCGTAAAGGGCTTTGTTTGCCAAGCCGAGTTTTAATTTTTCCTTCAGGCACTGAGGAGCCCTGAAGATTCATAAAGAGTAATGTGGTATGATCAGGTCTAGGTTTTAGTGATGGGAATATCACTCTGAAGCATTCTTGCATTTAATACCTATTTACTGAGCACCCACTGAGTGCAGAAATTGATCTAGTCATCGAATACAGGCATAAACAAAGTGGATGGACTCCTTGCTCTCATGCAGGTAGAATTGGGGGTGAAATGGGACTTAAGCCAATTAGGAGATAAATAGAATTGTCCAAGATAAAAATTTTAAGAGATTTTTACATGTAGAACTGATAGGAATTGATCCAATGTAGAAGCTGACTCTAAGAAAACTCCTGAGATTCAGACTAGTGTCATGGATTGGTGGTGGTGGGCATTGACTGGGACAAGCCAGCAGCTCTTTGAGGGGAGAGATAATCTCTTCTATCTTTGGGAGCATTCCCTGGCACTCTGACCTAATGTCACTCCTGGCCTGATTCAAATAATCATCTTCTCTTCCATGATACCACTACTTCTAGTTTTGCTTCTACTGTTGAACTTTGACTTCGATATTTGCCTGTCTTTCTCCCCTGCTGGTCTCTGAGATTTTATTTCTCTCTGCAAGCTCAGGACCAAGCACCTACACACTTGGCGCTTCAAGAAACCTTAGCTGAATTATTAGTAAGGAATGGAAGGAACTAAGGAGGAGAACAATAGAGCTGACAGATGAGTTTAACTTTGAACCTGTTGAATTAGGAGGGCCTTTGGGATGTGAATGAAGAAGAAAGACCAGAGCCTTAGGTATATATTTGAGAGTCATCAGGATGTATTTAGGTGTGCATGTGAATGATATTCTTTGGGCAGAGAGTTTCCAATGTTCTTTAAGTTAAAAAAAAAGAATAGAATTTCAAGGAGATGGGGTTGTGGGCAATACCGAATACCACAGAGCTATCAATGAAGATAAGAACTAGGAAATATTTGTTTAATTTGATAACCATGTTGGTGAGGATGGTTTCATTGTAGTGATAGGATAAAAAACTAGATTGAAGCAGGATGGTAGGGAAACCGTCCTGCTGAAAGCAGGATGTTCTTGTAAGAATCTTTAAGAAGCAAAGGAATAGAAGAGAGTGGTTGCCAAAGGCAATTGGAGCTATCATGCCAGGGAGAGGTTTTCTAACATGAGAAGGATTTAATATATTTTATACTGAAGGAAATAAGAAAAGGCTGAGGACATGAAAGAGGAGGTAATTGATAGAGTAGGTCCCTGAGAAGATTAGAAGATACAGAGTACAGGTGGAGAATTTGGCTTTATACATGTTGGGGGCACCTATTACTCCAAGACAGAAGAGGAAGATGTGTAATACTTGCAGTAAAGGCAGCATGTATTAGTCCATTTTCACATTGCTAAGAAAGACATACCTGAGACTGGGCAATTTACAAAAGAAAGAGGTTTAATTGGACTTACAGTTCCACGTGGCTGGGGAAGCCTCACAATCATGGCAGAAGGCAAGGAGGAGCAAGTCACATCTTACATGGATGGCAGCAGGCAAAGAGAGAAGGAGGAAGATGTAAAAGTGGAAACCCCTGATAAAACCATCAGATCTCGTGAGACTTGTTCACTACCATGAGAACAGCATGGGGGAAACTGCTCCCATGATTCAATTATCTCCCACCGGGTGACTCCCACAACACATAGGAATTATGAGAGTACAATTCAAGATGAGATTTGGGTGGGAACACAGAGCCAAACCATATCAGGGCAGGAGGTGGAGGTACTCCCTGGTAGAAGGACTGCATTTTCTCTGTGAAGTGAAACGCAAGGATGTACAAAGCCAAGAAGCAAGAGGGCAGAGGAGAAGGCCGGGGACCTCAAGGAAAGTCATGAAGAGTTGTAACCACATGTTGAGAAATAGAAGAAGGAATTGGTCATGAACATGTAGAAGAACACCTTAGAGGCAATTGCCCCACCCCCACACATCTTCCCAGCTGGAATTCTGTGGCTTATTCTGAGTGTCAGAATACCCTCCTGTACTGGTTCCAGGAATCAGTTGGTCTCTTGGGTCTCTACTCAAAATCTGCTAGGAGGAGCCATTTATTTCCTCCCTGTGCTTTTGGATGGGAAGGAATAGCTTCCAGCAGAGGGCTGCAAAAAACACTGCCCCTTGGAAACAAAAGACACTTTCTTTGCTGTCCCTGCCTGCCATTCCCTTTGCAGTATATCTGGCCAGTGGGGATTAAAACATTCTTTTCTTTTTTTTTTTTTTTGAGACGGAGTCTTGCTGTGTCACCAGGCTGGAGTGCAGTGGCCTGATCTAGGCTCACTGCAAACTCTGCCTTCTGGATTCCAGCGATTCTCCTGCCTCAGCCTCCCGAGTAGCTGGGATTACAGGCGCACACCACCAGGCCCAGCTAATTTTTGTATTTTCAGTAAAGACGGGGTTTCACCATGTTGGCCAGGATGGTCTCGGTCTCTTGACCTCATGATCTGCCCGCGTTGGCCTCCCAAAGTGCTGGGCTTACAGGTGTGAGCCACCACGCCTGGCCTTTAAAACATTATTTTCATGCTCATCAAAATTGTTTGCAGACTCAAAACTTTAAATGTCCACTGACTTTTCCCTTTACCACCAACTGTTTGTAGGGGTTACACTGAGTTGTTTATTCTGTGGCAAAAGGCTCTGGGAAGTGGTGCTTTTTATTGTCCTTGGAAGAGCTTTTCGTAGTTATTCTGACTGTTCCCTCATTCCATTTCCTGGTTATTATCAGAATATCTTCCTGTCATAGCCCATGTATTAGATTCCTAAGACTGTCATAACAAAGTACTAGAAACTGGTTGGCTTAAAACAATAGGCACTTATTCTCTTACAGTTCTGGAAGCTAGCTGTTCAAAATCAAGGTGTCAATCAGCAGGGCCATACCTCCTCTAAAAGCTCTAGGGAAAATCCTTCCTTGCCTCTTTCTAGCCTTTGCTGGTTGCTGGCATTCCTTGGCTTGTAGCTGCATCGTTTCAATTTCTTTCTTTGTTTTTTGAGACAGGGTCTGACCCAGGCTGGAGTGCAGTGGCACCATCATGGCTCAGTGCAACCCCTGCTTTCCAGGCTCAAGTCATCTTCCTATCTCAGCCTCCCGAGTAGCTGGGACTACAAGTGCATGCCACCATGTTTGGCTAATTTCATGTGTTTTTTCTTTTTTTTTTTTTTGATGGAGATGGGGTTTCATTATGTTGCCCAGGCTGATCTTAAACTCCTGAGCTCAAGCAATCTGCCTGCCTTGGCCACCCAAAATGCTGGGATTACAGGTGTGAGCCACTGTGCCGAGCCATCATTTCAATTTCCCCTCTGTCATCACATAGTTGCCTTTCTTCTGGGTGTGGTGGTCCATAACCATGCTTTCATGTGGCCTTCTTTATTTTTCCTTGGAGACAGGGTCTTTCTATGTTGCCCAGGCTGGAGTGCAGTGGCTACTCAGAGACATGATCACGTGGCCTTCTTATAAGGACACCAGTCATTGAATTTATGACCTCATCTTAATTACATCTGCCACAAACTTCTTTCCAAATAAGGTCATGTTCTGAGGTTCTAGATGGACATCCATTTTAGGAAAGGAACACAATTCAACCCAGTACAGTCATCTTCTAATTTCCTGTTATTGACATACTATGAGCTAGGATATCAGTTTAGTCAAGCATAGTCTGTTCTCCCTGAGCCTTCCCCAGAATCTGAGAATCAGCCTGCTGTCCTTAGTCTTCAAGCTGGCTCCAAGCCCTACTCTGTTTTCTGGTACTCTGAGGCACCAGATTTCTCAGTGAAGAAATCACTCTCTCTATTGTGAAAGAAAGATGTGGAAGGTCCAGCCATGTCTACGCTCCTCCAAGTGTAGCTCACACAAAGACGGTGGAGCACACTGGGGATTCCCAACCTGTGGCCACTCCCCACAGAGCCTCTAGACGGGGGTCTTAAGGGTTTGCCTGGAAGTAGTAACTACTAGTACCTAGAACATTTTCTAGAATCTTCATACCAAAAGAAAGCTATCCACCAAACTGAGACCCCAAAACTCTATTAAAATGACATATTAAAACTCAAGTTATTTTGGATGATAGAGTATGAGTGCTTGTTGATAAGTATATTTCATTGCTACAGATCAGAAGTTTCCTTTTACTATGTTTTCCTTTTTGGCCATGCTGAGTTGGAGTCATTTGCTGGTAATTTATCCACGAGGTATAATTTTTGTACCTTCCTGATTTCCATTTTTAATTTGCAGACTTCTACTTGACCTACTTATGAGGAAGTTAAGGCTTAAAGCTGTAGGTCTCTTGTGCCTTCCTCACCCCTGTGCAAAACCACACAGATAGATGTGACTTTTCCATGTTGAACTGCAAGGAGTGTCCCTAAGGGAAGAGGAAGGTAGACAAACTCCCATGTGCCCTCCTCAGTGACTCTGTATTCTCCATAACAAGACCTTGTCTATTGTCTACAGCTCAACTACGAAACCTTTCTCTCAGCTCTTGCTCTGATGCTGAGGGGGCATTATTAACAGGCAGGGTAGGCTGGGCACGGTGGCTCACGCCTGTAATCCCAGCACTTTGGGAGGCCGAGGCAGGCAGATCACGAGGTCAGGAGATCAAGACCATCCTGGCTAATACAGTGAAACCTCCTGTCTACCAAAAATACAAAAAATTAGCCAGGCGTGGTGGTGGGCACTTGTAGTCCCAGCTACTCGGGAGGCTGAGGCAGGAGAATGGCGTGAACCTGGGAGGCGGAGGTTGCAGTGAGCCGAGATCGCGCCACTGCACTCTAGCCTGGGTGATAGAGTGAGACTCTGTCTCAAAAAAAACAAAAACAAAAACAAAAACAAAAAACAAAAAAACAAAAAAACAGGCAGGGTAGCCATTGCTTAAGGCCTTAGTATTTTCTCTGGGGTAGGTTCCCCCCAACCCATCTTCAAATACAACAACTCCCTACCTTCAGTCAAGAACATATGGGAGTAAACATGATGTGAATCAAGAGAGTTGAAGTGGATGCCAGACAGAAAAATACAAATAAGAGTATTTATAGGATGGCAGGAAGGGAACTTGAAGCGAAATGTACAGAGAAGTAAACAGTGGGGTTTGTCCAACAAAAGATTTACCTCTCTACATTTGACTTTCATTCAGTCACTGTATTTTAGCCAATCCTTGATTTCTTCTACTTCCACAAATTCATATTATACAGCACTTCTGTTTCTTTTAGCATTGATTCTCACTTTTAATCCACCTTGGCCTTCTTTCCCCCTGCTGGAATATTTATGACTGGGTAGCTTGTAGTGATTTTGGTCATGCATTAATTTATCTCTGAACACTTTCTATTTCCTCCGTGGCTTTCTCCTCAACAGCTTTATCCTGTTTCATTTCCCTCAGCACTTTCCCCATTCTTCCAAAATTAGCTCCACTAAAATTTAATGTCTTTAGTTTCCCTTCTGCTGTGGCTTCAATCCTCCCTGGTATAAACACAACTATTATTAGCTAATCCCTTTGCTTGTGGGCAAGTTTGTGGCTACACGCCACCCTCCACTCCCCCGACCTATGCCCTTGGTCCTAAATCCAGACAAACACAGCTGAGGTTGCCTTGTGCTGATGGTTGGCATGAAGAGCTGGGCTACGTGATGCACGCACCTATTGTGTAAGTTTTCCCTGCTCTTGGAGTGCCCCAGTTTATCGTAGAGCACAGGGTGTTTGGCTAACTGCTCTTCCCCCTTCTGATACTAACCACTCTGCCTAAGCAGCTATGACAGTGCATCCCACAGTTAAAACGTAAATTCCCTTTGGACTATGAAAAGGGAATGCACTGAAGACATCCACTGACTGATTTTTTTTAATGTGCTGCATTTTCTGACACTGCTGAAACATTCACGTGGAATGTGCACGCTCTCTCTTTCAGCTTTACCACTTTCAAGATGTTCTGTCTGGGCTTGCTCTCTGCTGTGTTTAGGGTATTTTATTCAGCATTAAACTTGAAAGCCTAATTTGATGGACATGACTGAAAGATTGATGCAAAAATTGTTGCTGTTTATGCTTCCAGCCTTCTGGAATAGTGGAAAAATACTCACCTCTCCTGAACATTTGCTCCGCTATGGTTGCCAAATTATCTAACAGCCAGTCAGTATCCAATTTGACAGCATGGTATTCATTTTTTTAAAAAATTATGCATTGCGGTGTCTGTTTCTGTCTATGACAAGTTCCTTTAATTAATAATAATAATAATAATGCTTTGTCTTTACATAGTGCCTTTTAATTCAAGAATCTTCAAGTGCTTTGACTATCATTGCCTCCATGGAATCTCATGGAAAAGGAGACGAGGACAGAGGTTAAGTTATAAGAAGAGCAGAGCTGTGTCGTAGGTTTCCAGCAGCCCTCAGCTGCACACAGGAAGGTCTTTCCTCCCCAGTTCAGTGTTTTGGTGTGGCCCATTTTTTCTTTTCTCTTCTCATTCCCATGCTACCAGCCCCTGCCCGGCCCCCACTTTCTTGATTAGGAGCCACCCCACCCCTTCCAAACTCCTCTCTCTGCATTTCTCCCACTATTCACTAACTCTCTAAGGATGCTGCTGGGAACAAGTGAAGTCCCTTCACTCTGTAGGTGACATGGTGTTGAAATTCGAAGTCCCTTTTTTCTCTTTTGTTGTTTCTTGATCTCACTGGTATGGTGTGGGATAGTAACAGGTTAGCACAAGGACTGGATGAGAGATATTCTTTCTTCTCTAAAGAGAACAAAGACAACAGTTCTCCATGGTCCTTCTTATTCAATACTTCACTTGCATAGCCCTATCTAATATCTGTCACTCCTTCGCTTGTTTATGAATAAATGGAAAACATATAGATTCAGTTTATTCCCACAGATATCCTTTTTGGGGAAGATGCTGTGCTGTAGAGGTTGGGCTATAGGCACAAATATAAGGTTAAGACATGTTGCCTGCCCTTGAGGAGCTTACCGTTAACTAGAAGATGGGATTGAAATAAGTACACACACTTCTAGGAGTAATACAGACCTTGTTAAGAGAAGTAAAAAGTTTGGTACCTATTTAAAGAGGGAGGACCACACACATCCTTGGAGGACCCGAAAAATGTTTGATTAAAGAGGCAAAAGTTGAAATGGGTTATACGAGACTTGAAAGAGTTACAAGACTGAGATTGGGGAAAGAACAGTGTAAAAATACACTGAGAACAGAAACAGTCCACTTTGGCTAAAGGGCAGAGTATAAGTAGGGGGATTTGAGAGGAAAATTGCTAAACAATTGGCTGACATTTTATACCAGCAGGTCTCAGTTGTGGATGAAATGTTTCTATGTCAGGCTAAGGGTAAAGACTGGCCGCTGAACAGAGCAAAGCTGAGATCAGAGGTAATGTTAGGAAAATCAATCTGGCAATGGTGTGTAGAATAAATGAGAATAAAGAGAGTTATGCGTAGAATAAGCGGGAAATAATTTTAGAGATGAAAGAATTGAGACCCAGAAACATTGTATCCTTGGGCTCAATAGACCCGATAACTTATTTCCAAGGCCCTGAAGTCACTTATTTCCTGGTTGTCTATGCAACCAGATCAGGAGCCTCCATTGCTAACTGTGAGAATCTCAACAGCAACATCTCTTAGAGCAATGCAAGTAGCATTTGTGTCATTATGGGGTAGATACAAAGGAGTTCTTGGGGAGGGGTTATTGGAAGGACATTTCCCACATAGCTAAACTAACACTCATGTCCTCTTCCCTTGTATAGACTTAGTTTCATGAAAAAGAAAAGCTATTTTTCCAGTAAAAGATTTCTACCTAAGTTATTAAAGCTTGCATTTTAAAAAGTAAGGACTAAAAAATAGAAGAATGAGAATTGACCTGACATGCATATTTCAAAATTGTATCAAATATACTGCTGTCTGCGTAGAGAAATAAGGCCCTTTGGTTTAAGTGTGTGAATTTCATTGCCCTGTTAACAAGGATCCTGTTCTGGAGATTGCTGGAGCCCTGCTATACTATGGAAGTTGTGAAGCGTGCCCTCTGGTTAGAGTTGCATTGGCAGGGTAGGCAGGGTCACATTGTCTCTTTAAGCCTTTATATGGTAAGCAAGGGGGCTGGAATGGAAGGTTACTGCTAAGAAACCAGACCTTAAGAATGCATTTTCCTTTTGGGTACTCTGTGATTTACTACTTTTTTTGTTTTTTTTTGATCCTATTCACCAGGCTGCGGAATGCAGTGGTGTGATCATGGCTCACTGAAGTCTTGACTTCCTGGGTTCAAGTGATTCTTCTTCCTCAGCCTCCTGAGTAGCTGGGACTACAGGTGCCTGCCACCATACCAGGATAATTAAAAAAAAATTTTTTTTTGTAGGGACGGGGTCTCATTATGTTGCCCAGGTTGGTCTTGAACTCCTGGGCTCATGTGATCCTCTCACCCTGGCCTCCCAAAGTGTTGGGATTATAGGTGTGAGCCACCATGTCTGGCCTAAAATTTCTATTCTTTATTGTAATTTTTGAATTAGTCTTGGAAGTTGAATAGCTAACAAATGCTCCAATTGATGTCTGCATGCCATTTGGATTAGGATAATAGACACTGAGACAAGCAGTCTTACTCATTTTCAATTTGTAAAAAGATGAGTCTCTTATTTGAGTTCAGTGATTGTAACCTTGTGTGTGTGCATAGCATGTGTATGTGTGTGTGTCCTGGAGTTTCACATCTGCTTTCACAGCACTTTGCCAACCAACAGACCAGACTGCTTACCAAATCGACAGCTGCAACCTAAGCAGGATAAGTTGCCAGAAGTGACTGTTTTGGGGGTTAGCTCATCCTGCTGAATGGAACCTTCTCCAGGGTTTGTTAGAAGTTTTTGTTTTAATTGGACCTATGTCAAAAGCCCCCAGATACACGAAGTTGTTGTAACTTAGCCAGCCGCCTTAGAAAATCAAAAGCTGTATAATGCATCTCATTTATTCCAAGCACCATGCAGTCACTGTGCAACAGCCTTTGTGACTATAGAATGAGCCAGAGAGAAAAATATGGCCAAACATATACCATGCAAGCAAATTAAGCTTGAAATTTCATTTTTAAAAAAAACATATATTTTTCAATATCTGATGTGACACAGGTTATCCTGTTGGTTAAGATTAACTAGGAGGCCAGGCGTGGTGGCTCATGCCTGTAATCCCAGCACTTTGGGAGGCCGAGGCGGGCAGATCATGAGGTCAGGAGTTCGAGACCAGCCTGGCTAACATGGTGAAACCCCATCTCTACTAAAAATATAAAAAAATTAGCCAGGAATGGTGGCGGGTGCCTGTGATCTGAGCTACTTGGGAGGCTGAAGCAGGAGAATCACTTGAACCCGGGAGGCAGAGGTTGCAGTGAGCTGAGATTGTGCCACTGCACTCCAGCCTGGGCAACAGAGAAAGACTCCATTTCAAAAAAAAGAAAATTAACTAAGAAATCTTGGTATGTTTAAATAGCCGTTTGGCTGCTAGTAATGGTTAAGCCTGTTACTATCAGTTCAAGAACTGTTTGTAAGCCACCATGCCCAACTAATTTTTGTATTTTTTGTAGAGACGGGGTTTCCCCATGTTGCCCAGGCTGGTCTCAAACTCTTGGGCTCAACCTATCCACCTGGCTTCGCCTCCCAAATGCTGGGATTACAGGTGTGAGCTACCACTCCCAGCCTTATAATACTGTTGACCCTTGGACAGCATGGGTGTGAATTGTGCAGGTCCACTTATACACGGATTTTCTTTTGCTTTTGCCACCCTGAGACAGCAAGATCAATCCCTCCTCTTCCTCCTCCTCCTCCTCCTCAGCCTACTCAATGTATAGACAGTGAGGACGAAGACCTTTATGATGATCCACTTCCACTTAATGAATAGTAAATATAGTTTATCTTCTATATTATTTTCTTAACATTTTCTTTTCTCTAGCTCACTTTATTATAAGTATATATATAACATATATATATGTTATGTATATACCAGTAGAAATAGGTATAACATACAAAATATGTATTAACGGATGTTGTTATCTGTAAGGCTTCCAGTCAACAGTAGGCTATTAGTAATTAAGATTTGGGGAGTCAAAAGTTACACATGAATTTTTGATTGCACACAGCATCAGTGCCCCTAACCCCTGTGTTGTTCAACGGTAAATTTTATTTTGAATTTGCCCCCGAATACACAATTAAAATGAGTTTTTTTCAAAAGTTCTATATGAGCCCCTTTTGTAAATGATCATTAAAAATTCCACAACTACAAGTTTTTTTGTTTGTTAGGTTTTAAAAGTTTATTTTATATTTTTGAATATAGATATAAATCTAAGAAAGAGATGGAGAACTTATCCCTCTCCAATTCCCCAAATGAACATTTGGACCTAGAGTATGGATACAGCCAAAGAATCCTTATTTGAGAGTTACTAAAACTGAAGCACTCATCAATTTGCAAGTAAGTTGACATTTTCCCCTCTCTTAAGTGTGGAATTTTTCCCTTAAATACCATGACTTCTGCCGAGATCATATGGTTCAGTCTTTTCAGTTTCAAAGTTTAGAAGTTATTTAGAGTTAGTGACCATGTTATGTTGACTATTACCTATCTATTAGGACAAGTTGGGAGCTACTATGTCAGTTTCATATAAACAAAAGTTCTTTTGACTGTGTTTCTCCAATCTTCTGTTTTCTCATGTAGAAATGTACCAGTGATCATTTTCTCAGGTGATTGGGCTGGACACCACTTGGCTCATATGCTCACACGTCTCAGACTTGTCCTTCCTCTTCCATAGCTGTTCTTTTTCATCCACCCCACTCCTTCCTTAGCCCTCTTCTTATTCTGTGTACTTTCTCTGGGTGATTCAGTTCACCCTCTCCTTGACTCCAAGCACCCCCATGAGTCTCACACCTTCATGGTCAGCTCAGACCTCTCTCCTAAGCTCCAGATCCATAACTCCAGCCACTTCTTGGACACCTCTCTTTAATTATCTGATGGGCAGCTTTAGCACAACATTTGCAAAACTGAACTTCTATCTTCCTACGCAAGTGCACCAACTAGAAACCTGGGACTCATCCTAGATCAAATCCCATCGGTCATTATGTTCTACCTTTTCTTCTCCCCAGATCTCTCTCTGATCTATCTCTTCTTTCTATTCTCATAGCTACTCTTTGTGACTAGGCCTAGATCATCTCTCTCATGAATTATTGGCAAAGCCGCCAGTCATCCAAACTTAAGAATGGGCTTCTGCTGACCGGGACCTGCTGGAAATCTCTGTGCCTTGATTTCCTGTCTCTCTATCTTAGCCAGAGGCAGAGGCTGCTACTTTATTAGGGAGCACACACAAAGAGAGACATAGGGGCAGACAAGGAGAGAGACACGGAGGGAGGAAGAATCAATACAAGGGTGTGTTACTGCGTTGGCTATTGCTAAGTGTGACCGATTGCTTGAGCCTGGAAAACAATCTTCTGAAAAGCCACAGAAATTCATTCTCAGAACCATCCTTCTACGGTGGGGAGAAAGGGAGAACTTAACCCTGTGATGTAATAAGTTTCTGAACGTACAGATTGAGGAATTGTGAGTGCTGGGGAGGATCCTGTGATGTCCCATGCGTTGATATCAACAGGGAAACCCCATGGTGGGAAGTGAGAGGCACTTGGCCCTGGGGAGAAAAGCAGGCAACCATCAGTATGCACCTTTATTGAGTCTGCTAGAGCCCGTGTAGTGCTATCTGCCATGGCAGCAGCTGCAGCAAGAGACTGGAGACTGAAAAGATCTGAAGTGGTACATGAGAGATGCATGATCTCCCTACAGCAATGATGGACTGCTTCAATAGCCAGCTGCCCAAAGCATAGATGTCATCTTGCCCTCCTCTGCTTTAAATGATTCTTTATCACCTAAAGCAGTGGTTTTCACGCTGTGGTTGACAGAGTCCTAGGGTCTAAGGCAAGGAGAAAGTCAAGGGCAGACTTTTGATCCACCACCCCTGCTTCACTAGGGAACAAGAAATCAGCTGCAAACTACAGCTTCAAAGCCTTCACATAGAAAAGGTGGCATCCACATACCTTAACAGCTCATCCATCTATTGACTACATTGAGGTCGAACTGAGATTTGAAGGGCAAATAGGAGTTAACTAGGGAGGAGGGAAGAAAGAGCATTCAAGTTGGAGGGAGCAGCATGTGCAAAGTCCCTGTGGCAAGCAGGAGCATGGTGAGTAATGCAGACAGAGGAGGGCTGGTGAGGCTGGGGCAGAGGTTGGAGAGAATGTGGGGCCAGATGAGAGTGGGAACAGGGCAAGGGCAACCTGGGCACATTGGCTTCAGTAAGAAGCTTCATCTTAAAAGCAATGGTGAGTCATTGAATCCTCTGGGAGAAGGGATGATGAAAAAAAATCTGAGTTTTAAAAAGATTATTCTGATCATGTATCTGAAGAAAAGCTGAATTGAGTGGCATGGCTCTGCAACCAACATGCTAGGGAGAGTAAGAGGCCAACAGCTCAGGGGCTGACAGCTAAGCCTTAGAGGCTGCTTGGGAGTTCTAGATAAGCTCAGAGATTTGGAAGCCTGGGGATGGGACAAGGAGGTCATAGAGTGTGGGAACTCAATTCTAGAGGCATTTGCCAGAGCCAGAGTTATTAGCACTGGTGACAGCATGGCACCTAAAAGAACGGGTGGGTCAAGCTATTCCTTGCAGATACTGGGAAGACCCAGAGAATGTCCTTACCAATGAAATGGGGAGACATCTTGAAAGCCTGGGCAACTCTCCTAGAGATGTCTTTCAGCTAGAAGGGATGACAAGGTCATGTGTTTTCTGCCATTGGCATAAATGCAGGGTAAAGAGCAAGATGAACTTAGCAATGGAAAGTAAAGTATGTGGTATTTAAATTCAAAGTCAATACATAACCAACTGAGTCAACCCAGTAAGAAGACTCACTTAAGATCCCTTCAAAATTGATTCATCTTATACAGTTTGATATTTTTGTAGACATCAGCTTCCATTAATTAAGGGAGTTACACATTTGGAAACAACTGCTGATCTTGATCATGACTACTCCTCATGGCTCTGAAGAAGGAGAGCTTTGTTCGGATGTCATTTTTTGACTCAGTTAAATACAAGAGAATTGCAATTAGAATATTAAAACAAATATATAAAGTGCAAGTGTATAAATTGACAATAGGAAGTGAAGCTTTGGCTAGCCCAGACATTTGCACTGGCCTGAGAAGTCTCTTCTCTCCCTTTTAAGCAAGTTCTCTGGGAAGCCAGATCATTGCAGGGGGATTGGTAAGCATGGCATCAGAATTGGATTGGAATTTTTAATGGCATAGAGTCTGATAGTTGTATACATTCCCCCTCTTAGATGGGGACATACTTCCTATCACCCAGAGAGCATCTTCTCCCTTAGGCAGTGCTTGGATAGATGTTGCCAAATTTGATCTCTATGACTTTTCTTTCTCTTTGCCCCATAGTCTTTTTCATATCCTGCCATAGATTTCTCACATATTTTCCCACACAGATGAAGAACCACAGGTCACAATTTGCTATTTCTTTATATCAAGAGCTCCCCACCAAGTTTAATATAAGTGAAAATCCTGATGCTTTTTTATGATATAAGAACCAAACTCAACTACCCTCAGCCTTCGTTATAGCAAGTCCTGTTATTTAGAAGTTAACCAGTTGGAAATTCAATGCATAGCAGCCTCTGATGAATGAACACAGCCATTCCATTTATCCGATCACAAATGTGTCCTTCTTCAAAGGTGAGTAATTTCAATTTTCATGCCCCGGCTGCTGAATCTGCAGTACTTGCTCTTGTAATCACACATCATTCTGGATAAACATGGAGGCGAAGCCAAGAGAGGAGAATCAAGGGTATTATTAGCAGTTCTTTTCTTCTTATTCCTTTCCTCTCATCATATTTCCCTTCCCACCACGCCAAACCCAGCTTCCACTCCTCCCGGCCCCAGTACATATGCACAAAATTCCACTGAGATAGAAAAACAAAACTTGGGGTGGTGTGAGACCACACACTGGGCAGATAAGACAGCTTTGATGAGACTTTGTGCATTGCATGTCCATGCTTCACCTACAACCATTTCTCAGTCACTTTTCCAGATCTCCTGCCCCATCTGCTTCCTTTGCTATCCTGTCTCCCCTTTGCCTAACTTTTGGCTTCAACTCTCTCCTCCATTACTTTGCCCTTTCTTCCCCATCTGGCATCAAAGGCATGTAGGGGTGTATGTGTTGAGAGATTAAATTGGATTGGATGGGACTAGAATCCATTGAAAGCCAGGATGAAAGCCATCTACCCACACCCCAGAAACAGTCCCCTAGAAAGGATATAAAGTTGATGAGAACCCCAGGTAGAATCCCACAGCCCTATCATTTTGACTTTTGTTTTCTTTTCCAAACTGGATCTTCCCACCCTACATGACTTCTTCCCTTAAAAAAGGAAGCAGGGATGAGATGACCTCAGTGTGCTCCTGTACATTCTGCTTCCAATTACTTCAGGATCTAAAGAGATAGAGGCTTAGTACTGGCCCCACGGCGTGGCTGCTAAAGCACCATATCATGTCATTTAACCCCAGACCCTTCCTTTCACCCATTTGATGAAACAGCAGATGGTATCCTGGCCTGGGCCCTTCCTGGGCATTAAGCATTATAGAGATGGATATTGGAGAGAAGATTCATTAAGGACCCTTTGACTGACTTTTATTGGTTTCACATAACTCTGGTGACAGAATCATTTCCATTTGAGCAGCTGAGTAGACGGATACTTATCAAATAAAGACAGTCAATCATGATAAGCTAGGCACTTGATAAATAAAGATCATCCACCGTAACCACGTTGTTTTGAGGTATATTTTTGCAGTGCCTCTAGTTATACTGAAGATCCTCAAGTGTTCTTTGTGGCTGTGGACTTTGGCCTGATATGGCTCCCTCCCAGTACATTTTACAGGTACATTATTGTAGCACCTCAGTGCTCAGATATAAATGCTAAAAACAGAACGGAGGAAAAAAATTCTACTTTAAAATAATGACAGGTTGGCAGGTTGAATGGTGGGGTAATAGGAACAAGAGGAATTATCTGCTTCAATGATACTCATTCCACTGTCGCATTCACATTAACACTACAGGCATGACTGAGACAGAGTTCCTATTAACACGCCCATTCCAGTTCGCTCTGTTTCCTCTGTTCTCCTATACTGATCAGTTCCTTTAGAATGTGTCCTCAGGCTGAAATTTTCCCTGTTTGACATCAATTCAAGGTAAATTGACTGCAAAGTTTGAGGCAAATTCTAATTGTGTTCATGTGTGCTTCACAAAGTGTACAAGCCTACTCTTCCACTCAATTTTCATACTCTGGAGCCTTCTCCACAGCCCACATAGAGTCACTGACAATATTTGATAATACACTGTTGCCTGCTGCATCGCCTAGGGCTGAATTGCTTTTAATTTTGTCCATTTAAAAAAGGGAGATTAAATGTCACGACATTATTGTGTCAAGCTACATCATGTAAATATGGTAGAAATATTAGCAAAAATATTAATTGGATCTACATTTACATTACGATAAACAGATTAGAAGATAGATTAGATATAGATAGATAGATTAGAAACAGATTAGAAGATAGATATAGATAGATAGATGAGATAGATTCATGTTGGTTTCTGTTGATTTATATCATCATACCATCAGTGATAAGTTTGACAAAAAGAACAAGAATTGTACCAAAAGGCCTTTATATATTCCTTCTTGCCCCTGCAGATTAAATGGCTCATAGTCTTCTTTGGAAGAACATAGATTCTCCCTTTGGATGGCAGGAATTGCCTGTTGATTTGTGTCCAGTCTTCCTGGATGGAGAATTTTCCAAGCCACATTGGCGGGGCTCTAACCAAGGATGTCCAAAACCTGGTGGGCATGTAACCAGGAAGACGTTTTTGAAGGTTATCCCAGTTCAAAGCCATCTTGCTGCAGGGTGGCAGAATCCCAGTGGGCTGGGACACCAGTGTAGGAAGCTGGAGTGAGGGTGGTAGCAAGGCTGACCGGGATATGGGAACTCGTGAACAAGTCAGGGTGCCTGAGTTTTTGTTATGGAGTTTCCGTGAAGCTTCCCAATCGCTGGGGATGCTTCTTTGCATGATCCCAGTCCAGGATGTTCTCCTTCACTGCACTAACCTTGGATGGGGTAACCATTCCAGCCTTGCCAGGATGAAAATGTTATCATATTGTTATTCTTCATTTCCCTTCCCCAAAGAATAAAAAGGCACTTAACTAGATCTTGTAGGCAGAGAGCCCTTTCTTCCAAGTCAACATGTAAACAAAACGCACAAGAAAGAAACAAAACCACTTAGTCTTGTCACTTACTCCATTCTAGTTTCTTCATTCTATTCTTCATTTTCTCAGATATAGAAAGAGAAAGAACAAAGCCTGGATATTTTAAAAGATGTGTATATCTTCATCTAATTCGATGAATGTTATTATCCCAAACATTGGAAAGGTGTTAAGAAGAAATTGTTTATAGCTTAAACTGCCTAAAAAGCAATACTGCTTCAGTCTTGTTAAATCAATTACTCTCTGGGCTTTCGGGAGTTGGCAAGCTATTTTTGTATGCCCTCAAAAAGAGCTGAAGTTGCAGATTTATTATTTAAAACCTCTATGATTGCCACCCTCAAAAAAATATATATATATAATCCCTTCTGAAATCCAGATTGGACCATTTCAATAGCAAACACATTCATTTATTATTTCTGGCACTTCCTTAGTGTTAAGGACTTCTTTGGCCATTCAGTCAGGCCCAGCTTTCATAATGAAATCTATCCCTTAGATAAAGGAAAATAAACAGACTTGGTACCTTAGGCTAACGTGATTTTCCGACTTTCGAAGGGCAGCAGCTTGTTTATTTTTTTTTTTCAGCCTGATAAGTTTCCAAGGCAAAATGATTTATCTCTGTCCAGTTCTTCTTGGGATATTCACTGGGCAGAAAGTGGATTAAGGAAGAAGTAGAGAATGGACTGAAATAGAAAGAGAAGGAACTCTAACGGCAATACTGAAAAGAGGATGGCTTAACCTGATTACTGTGTATCCTCTAAAGAGAGCAAAAATCAAATTAAATTGGAGAAAAAGAAAGTAAAAAGAGAAGGAAATTGCAATATTTTGGTCTAAGGGAGATTGCATTGTAGAGTTAATGGAATTTAGATGGCAACATCATTTTTAAAACTAGATTGGCTCATGCCTGTAATTCCTGAATGTACTGTTCACAGGCAAGGTTTGTGTGTGTCTTTTCCTGACATGACATGAGAAAAAAAATGTTCATGAATGATAATTGCCTAGTGCCAGCAGTCACACAATTCCCTTTCAAAAGAGAACAGGGAAAAGAACTGTTGCCAAGGTAAGCTTGGAAGTGTGAAGACCCAGAGCTCTCCGTTATCTGAGCCTCCACCCACAGCTTGTCATTTCTTCCGAAAGCATCTGTCTGGCACCTGGGAAGCTCCCTTCCTGAGCCTGACTTGGAGGCACCACCCAGCTGGGATTCACCTCTCCCATTCACCATGACTGTGTGAGCTTGGGATGCTCATAGTTCTTTGGGGGAAGCGTCCAGATGTGTCACTGAAAGTTCTTGTCCTCAAGAGATAAGACATCTAGACACGTGAGTGACGTGGTAAGTCCAAGATCGAATGTAATAAATGCCAAATTAGTGTGCAGACTGGCTATTCTCAACTTCGGTATCACATCCCCATAGGTTGTCATGGTCAATGAGGAGAAAGGAGTGGAGTTAGGGCTATCATTGCTAGAATAGCGCCTGCTCCCACAGCCTGCCTTATAACAAAAAGAGGTGGCATTTGTATGGTGCTGAGAGTGCGCCAGGCATTGGGTAAGGCATTGTACCTGCCTGACAGTAATTCTCTGAGTCCATCAAATGAAAATAGTAAAGAGTACCTACCTCTTAGGTTGTGAAGGGATTAGGAGAGATTATCCATATGATGCACTTAGTGCCTGGTGAAATAGGCGGGAAATTGCATCATCTTGCTCAGTTGACAAATGAGGAAACCAACGTTGAGGGGTGGTAAGGAAATTCTAATAAGTAGTTATTGGTAGGACCTGCATTCTAACTTTGGTCTGACTCCAAAGGCCAGTGTCTTAACTTTTATGTTTTGCTGCTCTGCGGTAAATGGGCAAGTGTGTAGACTAAGGTGAGCTCTATCAATGATGTTGAAATAGACCCCCGCTAAGCGCCACAGGAGAGGATGGAGAATGAAGTTATAAGAGATGACTCCATGGAGGAAGAGAGGTGTGGGAAAATGGTTAGGGTGGGAAAGGTAGAGAGGAAGGCAGTTTAGAAGGTGGAGAGGTCAGCCTGCTTTGGGACTGGAAGACAGTGGGTAGAGCAGTCTGGCTGAAGCTGATGTTGAATCTGAGAAGCAGGACGTTAAGGAAATTAAGCTCACATTGCAATCTTGCTCTCCACCGGCTACCAGGCACGTGCAGCAAAGCCTCCTCCTCAGATACCGATTCCCCTTGTGGTCTTCTTCTCATCCTTTGAGGAAGCAACTTGATAATGCAGCTGTGTGCTTAGTCAATCCCCAAATGCAAGTGCATCATCAGACCTTGGCAGTGATCTGGTTCAACCCAGCAGAGGATCTCCTCTACAGGGGAAACATTTCCAGGGACGGGGAACTCACTGCTTCTCAAAGGAGCCCAGTTCTTTGATGGAGAGCTTTCATGAGTAGAAAGCATTTCCTCATGGCATCTCTGCTTCTTGAGCCCCTCAGGTATTTGAAGACAGTTGTCCTGTGCTGAGTTTCTTCTTGTCCAGGCCGAGTGACCCCAGTGCCCCTACTTTTTTTAAACCCTCTCCCTATACCTTTGCTTTGATGCAACTATATCTAGCTTGCAACTTCATGGAAATCACATGGCTTTGGGGAGCAGGAAATGAGTTCACATTAGCAGCCATCCTCACATATAGATCACCAGTTAAAAGGGCAGAAGGTTAGGAGAGAAAATGGGGAGGCTACCACCTACACATGTGCCGAGTAGCTATAGTGAAACTGAAGTCAGAGGCAACCTTATCCGCAAAGTGTTTCAAGAAGCTCAGCACAGCTGTGAGTTTTAATAACTTCAGAAGTCTATTTGCTAAAATCTTGCAAAACACACCCCTGAAAAATTCAATTATTTAAATTTCTATGATACTTAGTTTTATAAACTTTCAGAAATATATTTTTTATTTTTATCTTTCTTTCTTTCTTTCTTTCTTTCCCTTCCTTCCTTCCTTTCCTTCCTTCCTTCCTTCCTTCCTTCCTTCCTTCCTTCCTTCCTTCCTTCCTTCCTTCCTTCCTTCTTTCCTTCTGTCTTTCTTTCTGTCTTTCTTGTCTTTCTTTGACAGAGTCTCTCTCTGTCTCCCAGGCTGGAGGGCAGTGGTGTGACCTCGGCCCACTGCAACCTCCGCCTCCTGGGTTTCAGGGATTCTCCTGCCTCAGCCTCTTGAGTAGCTGTGATTACAGGTGCCCACCACCACGCATGGCTAATTTTTGTATTTTTAGTAGAGACAGGGTTTCACCATGTTGGCCAGGCTAGTCTTGAATTCCTGACCTCAGGCGATCCACCAGCCTTAGCCTCCCAAAGTGCTGGGATTACAGGTGTGACCCACTGCGCCTAGCCTATATATTTCTTATTATATCACAATATGACAGCTGTATCATCCTATTCCTTTATAGTTTTTGTCATAAGCATTGCTCTTAGAAAGTCTTTTCTTATACCAACACAATATAAATATTTACCTATGTTTTCTTCTGTAGTCGAATTGTAAGGTCCACAGGTGCAGTTGGTGCAGTTAATTATATTCCTCATTTCCTAAGACATTATCGGTAGTTAATCTTCCTAGGTCCCTCTTTACTTTTTAAAATCCCTTTTATCCATATTTCCTATTCCAGTCTCCCCATACAACCAGTCCAATGTGTTAAATATGTATCTTTTTGTATGCATTTGTTTTTGCTAAATATGTATTGTATAATGCTCACACATTTTAAGTGGCATAAGTGATATTGCGTTGTATATCTTATTCTGTGTCTTACATGTTTTGCTCAGGACTACATTTTTAGGGTCCCTCCTTGATGTTAGTGTGCCTCGGGTCCATTGCTACTAACTTCTGCTTGGCCCTCGGTAGTATGCATGCCCCACATTTCACCCAATAGCCCTCCCAGGAATGGACGCACTGCTCACCTCCAGCTTCCACCACTGTAAACAACAAACACTGCATTTGCTTAGGGACCTGTGTGAGAGGAAGCTCACTGCACCAACATGAAGGACTTCGACCAAGATGAACATAGACAAAGTTAGTGGATGACAAAGAGTAAAATGATCTTTGCAGACCCTAAACTAACAAGAGACCGATATCTAGAACATACAAGGAACTTTCTTACATCAACCGGAAAAATACAGAAACTCTAATAAAAATTTGGCAAAAAAATATAAACTGGCATTTTACAAAAATGCAGGGCTGGGCGAAGTGGCTCATGCCTGTAATCCCAATACTTTCAGAGGCCGAGGAGGGTAGATCATTTGAGCCCAAGAGTTCGAGACCAGCCTGGGAAACATGGTGAAACTCTGTCTCTACAAGAAATACAAAAATTAGCCCAGCGTGATGGCTTGCACCTGTAGTTTCAGCTACTGGGGAGGCTGAGGTGGGAGGATGGCTTGAGCCCAGGAGGCAGAGTTTGCAGTCAACCGAGATTATGCCACTGCACTCCAGCCTGAGTGACAGCGTGATACTCTATCTCAAAATAAAATAAAATAAAATAAAATAAAATAAAATAAAAGGAAATAGAAACTTCCCAAAATTAACAAGTGTATAAAGAGATGTTCAAATTCACTTGTAATCAGAGAAATGCATTTTAAAACACTAATGAGCTTATTAGAATGCAGAAACCAGAAACTAGACAATCTCAGATGTTGGTGTGGATTTGGAGGCACAGACCCCTTCTTGCACTTGCAATGGAAGGGTGGCAGCCATTCGGGAGAGCAATCTGGCAGTGCTTGGTGAAATTAAGTGCCTACAATGCTCCTGTCCCAGAAACTCCACTTTTTTACCAACACTTTCATAGTTTGGGTTTTTGTTTATTTTTAACACACAAATATTTCATCCATCTGGGATTTATTTTGTTGTAAAGTGTAAGTATTTAGCAATATTTATTTTCTCCAAATGTTTGGCCAGTTGACCTAACCCTTTTGAATAACACCTCCTTTCCCCCACTGTCCTGTCACTCCTAACTTCTCATAGATTCCTGGGTCTGTGTCCAAGTGTTAGATGTCTAAGTATTGTATCTCGGGGCTGCTAAGCAGTGAGCACTTGGAGAATGTTTAATCCTTCCTGTGTTTTATGCTTTGATGTCAAGAGCCACGAACTAACTACAGATCCAGAGAAAAAACTGTCACAGAAACCAAGGGCTGTTTTCCTTGGTACTTACACATTCTTGCTGGGTAGAACTTTGGTTTTAGACTGTTATTCTTAAACGAGCCCCTTCTCACACTCCTTCCCTCCTTCCTGGTTGCCCAGCCTTCTGATAGCATCTTCTTTGACTCAAGAAGTCAGATGTTTTTCTCTCTTCTCTCTCGGTTTTTCTCTCCCTTTGTCTCTCTCCTCCTCCCTCTTTCTCTCTTCCTGCTCCTCCTACTCTCTCTCTTCCCTCTATTCCATCTACCTTCCCCTCTCTTCCATCTACCCTTCCTTCCTTCCTTCCTTCCTTCCCCTCCCTCCTTCCTTCCCTCCCTCCTTTCTTTCTCCTTCCTTCTTTTTCTTTCTTTCTTTCTTTCCTTCCTTCCTTCCCCTCTCTCTTTTCTTTCCTTTCTTTCTTTCTTTTTCTTTTCTTTCTTTCTCTCTCCCTCCCTTTCTTTTCTTTCTTTTCTTTCTCTCTCTCTCCCTCCCTCTCTTTTCTTTCTCTTTCTTTCTTCCTCTTTCTCTCTTTCTTTCTTTCTCTCTCTCTCCTTCCCTCCCTCTCTTTTCTTTCTTTCTTTCCTTCTTTCTTTTTCTTTCTCTCTCTCCCTCCCCCCTCTCTTTTCTTTCTTTCTTCTTCTTCTTCTTTCTTTCTCTGTTTCTTTTCTTCTTTCTTTCTTTCTTCTCCCCCTTTCTCCCTCCCTCTTCCCTTTATCTCTCTCACTGAGTGCCACACTAATCCTGTTTCAAAAAGAAAGTTTAAAGTCCTGAACAAAGTTTGGAAATCAGAAAACCCCTCTGGAGATTAGTAATTTGGAGATTTCACTCAGCCCAAATTAAAAAAAAAAATCCTTCAGAATTGAAGTACCTCTTTGTTTCATCATAGCAGGCCTGGTGGCACTCAGGCGGGTCTTGCCTCCCTGTACAGGCTCATTCTAACTACCAGCCACAAGGCGTCTGACCACAGAGGGTTAAAAGCCTAAGAAGCAGCAAGGATGCTTGAAAACCACCTTCACATTAGGGAGAGCAAGTCACATCCAAGGCTGCAGAAAAGTGTGTCTGCTTGAAGAATGTCAGTCACTTTTGTTTTAAGAGACACAGACAGCACTTAAAGGCTGTCAATCATTTCTTATGAGAGGAGACAAGAAACTTTTAACATATGAATTGCCAATATTTTCTACAGTAAATTAGAAATATATATATATATATATATATATATATATATATATATATATATATATATTTAGTACATGTGAAAAATTATTATCTGCCAGCTTGGGCCATGTCTTTTCCATGAGACTATTTGGAGTAGCATTTACTACCTGTCAGATTTTTTTTTAAGTTTAAATAGATGTATTAAAACATAAAGAAAAGGATCTGGTCTGACCCCCCTTGACTGTAATGCTCTGTAGTCAACTTGGAAACTGACAATTTGCTAAAGTAAGAAGCTGTCCTGCTGGACAAAGTTGACGTCCAAATAGTGCTGTCTGCTACAGCAGCCACCAGATACATGGGGCCATTTAAATTTAATTAAAATTCAATAAAACGTTCGTTGCAGTCACACCAGCTTCATTTCAAGTGCTCAATAGCCCCATGTGGTTAAGTGGCTACTGTACTGAACAGCACAGATAGAACATATTTCCGTGATCACAAAAAGTTCTCTTGGACAATGATGTTTTGACTCTCGCTACTCAAAGTATGCCTTGAACCAGCAACATCAGCATTGCCTGAGAGCAGCACTGGCTTCCTGGCACATGACCTGAGCAGAGGTGTAGGGCTTTGCGCTCAGGAACTGTTTGAGACTGTTGCCCAGCCTGGTCTTGAACTCTGGGGCTCAAGCGATCTGCCTGTCTTGGCCTCCTAAAGTGCTGGGATTACAGGTGTGAGCTACTTTGCCCAGCTCTGCGTTTTCATAAAATTATAGTTTATACTTTTTGTCCAATTTCTATTGGCGTTTCTGTATTTTTCCTGTTGATTTGAGAAACCACTAAACCACTAACCACTTGCTTTAGTGCTTTGTCATCGCCATCTTGGAATTGTTAATGATTTTTGAACAAGGAGTCCTGTATTTTGCACTGGGCTCCACAAATTATGTAGCCAGTCCTACTTGAGAGCTTGCTCCAAATGCAGAGGCTCAGGCCTCACCACCCACCTACTGAATCAGAATCTACATGTAACAAGGCCACCAGCTGAATCTTCGGGACATTAAACTTTGAAAACACGATCCAGAAGTGTAGTCTTCAAACATTTTAAGTATATGTAACTTTTTCTTCAAATTGATTACGTTTCTTTTAAAATTAAATTTGCACAGAGCCAAATATATAGAATAGATTAAAATAATTATGCCTTTTAGTCAATTTATATAGTCATGGTTTGGCTATGAATAATAACTGGTTGTTTTTGGATTTGGGGGTTTGTGTGGAAGAGCTTGAATGCCACTAATCTAGATGGCACTGGCTGGAGACAGTTTATGATGTTGAGACACCCCCAATTCTATAACCACAGAGAACTGGGAAACCCCAGGTGAGCCAGCTGTCTTGGAATAAACAGACAAATCGCACCTATGATAACCATAGTATTACATAATCTTTGTATGTAACATTAGCCAACACATATTAGTGTATTCGAGAGCTCCCAGTTGGTGCTAAGCTCTTTACTACATTACCTCATTTAATCTTCACAACTCTATAAAAGAGGTTAAGATTGCCTCTTATGCAAGAGTAAGTGGAGGCT
Source organism: Homo sapiens (assembly GCF_000001405.40). Taxonomy (NCBI): domain Eukaryota; kingdom Metazoa; phylum Chordata; class Mammalia; order Primates; family Hominidae; genus Homo; species Homo sapiens. The sequence goes on along the minus strand of NC_000006.12, from coordinate 16,967,607 downwards.
TAGACTGGCTAAGTAACTTACCCAGGCAGAGACAGCATTTGAACCCAGGATTAGGGAGGGATGAGTGAGTTACTCAATGTGGGTGTAAAATTGAAGAGAGCAGCAAAACATTTAGTAATCAAGATAAATAATATCTGAATTCAGTATTTGAAAAAATTAAGATGAATGCAAGAATACCCATAATGAGCAAACTTTCATCATTTTAAGTAAAGACGACAGGCTGCTGTCCTTGGCTTGATTTATGACGCTGTATTATTGTGCAATGGGAATCAGCCTGTCTGATGAGTCCACGGCTCCATGGCATCACATGGATATGGAGTACCCAGCCAGGTTGATGAGTGTTGACAATAGTGCATGAACAGATTGGGCAACACAGGCTTTATATATAGTCATTGATTTCTGATTGTAGAGATTTTATTAACTTTTTCCATTTTGTTCAGAATAGGGGTGGATGTTTTGATAAGTGTGTATAGGAGGCCACATTTTCCCTTTTGCCTCAGATTCCAATGTGCATTGCTGCTGCTCAGCTTTTTCAGATTCCAGAGACCGGGTCAAATGCCTACTTCTGCCCACACCATTGATTCACAATCCTGGCTGCCCATGACACTCACTGAGGGAGTCATGAAAACAGCTCCATGCCTGGGGCCCATCCCCAGAGGCCACTTCCCTTTGTCTGGGTGGTTCAGAATGGGGCCTGACATTGGGTTTGTTGCAGAACTCTCCAGTTTATTCCAATGTGTGGCCAAGGTTGACGATGACTTTGCTACATTACACTGCCTTTCTTGAAGGATCACAGGAGGCTAGCACACAAAATGCAACTCTCTCTGAGCATAAGGTAAGGTGAGGTCAGCTGGAAAGCACATGTGCTTCCAGCTCGGAATAAGAATTGTGGCATTTTAGATCTAGATGGTGCCTTAGGAGTCAGAATGTTTGAGCTAAAAGGACCTGGAATTAGATTGCCAATTTCACTGATGAGTAAACAGAAACTCAGAAAAGTTACCCCAACTTGCTAACAAGAGGCAGAGAGACAACAGGAGCAAAAGGCTCCTGACCTCAGCCCGAGCCCTTTTCAAGGAACCCATCAGAGAAAAAACACTTTCGGCTCTCACCAAAAAGAAATGAAAGCAGCCACCAGCATCCATAGCTCTCCTCCAAACATAAGAATCTACTTAATTCAGTGTTTTAAAATTTTCTTTTCCAGAATAAACCTGATTAATCCAAATCCCCATTTATAAAGTGACAATTTGCAGGCCAAATGGTTTTTCTGATCCATACTATGTTTTCAAAAGTTGATCCAGGCCGGGCGCGGTGGCTTATGCCTGTAATTCCAGCACTTTGGGAGGCCGAGGTGGGCAGATCACCTGAGGTCAGGAGTTCAAGACCAGCCTGGCCAACTTGGTGAAACCCCGTTATCTACTAAAAACACAAAAATTAGCCAGATGTGGTGATGGGCGCCTGTAATCCCAGCTACTTGGAAGGCTGAGGCAGGAGAATTGCTTGAACTGGGAGGCGGAGGTTGCAGTGACCCAAGATCTTGCCATTGCACTCCAGCCTGGGCAACAGGAGTGAAACTCTGTCTCAAAAAAAAAAAAAAAAAAAAGTCGATCCAACATTTAAACATGGGGAGATTTTCCATTACATTTTACATAATGTATATGCTTCTACTGAATACCTGGAATACTTGGCAATATCCCTGACGGTAGCACCGGCCAGAGCTGAGTCATTGCTGCCTATTGTAAAGAGGCCCAAGCCCTCCTATTTTTGTTACAGCCTCCACTACTTCCAATCCTAGTCATGACTCTAGGCTGTCTAAATGTCACCGAAAAATTTAAAATTGAAGTCGACATCTCGGAAATGCCAGAATCCCCCACCCAGTCTGTTTTATGCATTCACGTTAACTGTTAGGCCCCGGTGGCATTTGAGCTTGCAACCCTGATTTTGTCATGATAGGTCCACAACGCACCAAACGCTGGGGCAGAAAGAGCAGCCCAGGCTGCGTGGTGAGGCTATTTTTCTGCAGCGGAGACCTGAGGAGGTCTTTTACGAAGGCTTATGAGGGCAGGACCTTCTATTCCTGGTTTCCCTACCACATCGCTTGGTTTTCAGTTGCATCTATAAACCCCAAACTATTCAACATTTTTTTTTTTCATTCAAAATCTTTGTTCTATGTCATCAAGGTTTTTCTTCCTGCCTGATTTGTTTGTGCTCTTCTCCTATCCCAGAATGCCCTCCCTCTTTTTATCTGAAGTCCAATCATCCTTCTAGGCTCAGCTTCCTGGATTACTCTGATCCGTGTGGGTCTCTCCCTTCTAGGAAACTCGTATGACCTCAAGTCGATAGAGAAACCGTATGTTCCTTTTATTTCCCCAGGTCAGAGGATAAGCTCCTTAGATTTGCCTGTGTGTAATTCCTTTGAATCCTCCCTAACACCCAGGACCGGACTGGGTACACAGACCATGGTGTGACCCAGGGTCCCCTCTACTTTCCTCCAGCCGGTCGGAACAGGCGATGCAGCTCCCACTACCAGCCACGAGAGGTCGCTCATCCACACACATCTTGCCCTGCCCAGGTTCCGTGCTGCACGTAGATTACTCGAGCCTCTGGAAGTAGGGCAGGCTAATTTATCTCCTCTCCAACACAGCCTCGGGCCATCAGAGCCTCTGATGTCAGGGTCCCTGCCGTGCAAGCTGCAGAATGAAAACACTGCAAATAAGAAAGGTCACTGCATCCGCTCTGCACATTTACTTCTCACCTGAAATCTCTGCCTCGCTAGCAACATGCCAGCTCAGGCTCGGAAGATTTTCCCAACTCAGTATTCCAGCAGGAGGGAGAAGAAATCTGTGACTACTGCATGTATTATGGGTGTGCTTTTACAGATTATTGCATCAAGTCCATGGTCCAGCAATGTGCCAAGAAAGGGTTCCATGCTCTTTCTTCTGCTCCGATCCCCAGGGAGTTTCTGACCAGAGCACTGATACTCCGACTCTGTTCTGCTTTTGCTACTGCTGTTCTCCACTAATAACAACACTGACCTTTTAAAACAGGCCTTCTCGAATGAGCCAGCCTTAAAGTAGAGGTAGTGGCCAGGTGTTATTTCAGAGATTTGATGAATCCAAAGCAGCAACATGAAGGGAGCACACTAATTCCAAAAATGGGATAGATGCCACAGGAAGGTGGGAGAGCAAAAAATGTAGGTACCTAAGGTAATACCAACCACGCATGCCCAAGTACCCAGCATGGTGTCACGTTGGCATGGCAGACCAGAATGCCGACACTGGTTGAGTCTGAGTGATTGTAAAGGTTTAGCAAGGAAATGTGTCAGTCAGAGAGATTCAAATAGGTGTCCAGAGACTGGGAAGGAAGGTAGCATAGAGCTCTGCCTGGAAGCCCTGGACTCCAAAGCCCCAAGCACAGGCTTTCTGGGCTGGCTAACACGTTTCAAGACGGTCTCTAAGGAGCATTCAGACCTACTGGCAAACCTTAAAGGAAAGTCGAATTTGCCCATCGATTTCACCAGTCACTTGCACCATGATCAAAAAGATGTATTTATTAGTAGAGGCAGCACAGCGTCTGGGGAGCCGGACTCCCAAAGTGAGAATCAGAGTTCTGACATTGACTAGCCATGGCTTAAACTCTCCGAGCCTCAGTTTACACATCTGTTAAAAGGAGACTAATAACAGTACCTAAGCAAGGGTTACTATCAGGATTAAAATGCTTAGAACAGTACCCAATGCACAGCAAACACTTACGTAAATATAAGCTGTTATCACTAATGTTATTATTAATTTTGTTATCCATTCTGCACAAAACACACAGTGAATCCCCTATTTTCCAGGCCTGGCTGTGTCTGAAATAAAGAACACCAAAGAACTTTTTCAGAAATAGTGTCAATTTCATACCTAAGCAACGACAATGTCACTTTCAGTTCAGCAAGGCTCTCTCCTTTCCTATAGAGTGAAGTTGATAATTGTCTTAGAGCTACTTATTTCACTTTATCCTCCCACTCTTTAAAACAAGTCTAAAAAACTTGGGTGAGAACATATTCAACGATTCATTAATTCAACAAATATTTCCTGAGAGCCTGTTATGTGCCAAGCATTGTTTCAGGTGCTGGGATGTAGCAGCGAGGCAAATCCTCTGTCCTGCCCTAATGAGGGTTACATTCTGGTATGTGGGCACAGGCAAAAAAGGAGCAGGGAAGCAGATGAGGTAGTTCAGATAGTGTTGGATGCAATAAAGGAAATTAACAGGGTGACTTGGAGGGCCACACTGTTAATCTTACTTAAGATGGGATGATCAAGCAAAACATGTCTGGAAAATGACGTGTGAGCTAAGATCTGGAAGATGACAAGAACTAGACATGCAGACAGGCAGCCAGTGCACAGGTACAGAAAGTGGAAGGGACCCTGGGGTGAGAATGAACTTGGGCAATTCAAGGACAGAAAGAAGGCCTAGGGACAGAGTATAATGAAAAAGGGGCGTCTTTGTCCTGTAGTATTCTGCTGTAACAGAATTCAACAGACTGGATAATTTATAAAGAACTAAAATTTATTTCTTACAGTTCTGGAAGCTGGAAAGTCCAAGATGAAGGCACCAGCAGGTTTGGTGTCTGGTGAGAGCATGTCTCTGCTTCCAAGATGGTTCCTTAAACATTGAATCCTTCAGGGAGGAGGAACACTGTTCTTCATGTGGCTGACGACCAGAAGAGAGCAAACCCATAAACTCTTTTTTATAATGGCATTAATCCATTTGTGAGGGCCGAATCCTCATGACCTCAACATCTCCCATTAGGTCCCACCTCCTAACCCTGTTGTACTGGGAATTAAGCTTCCAACACATGAATTTGGAGGGGACAAAATATTCCAACCATAGCAAAAGGAGAATGGTATAGCATGAGTTTGGAGAACGAGGCAGTGGCCACATCACGTAGGGCCTTGTTCACTGGGGTAAGGTGTATAGATCTTATCCTGATGAGAAGCTATTGGTCTTGATCTATGCAGAGCAGAGTCGTGATCCAATTTATGTTTTAAAATGTGGGAGAAAGACTGGAAACAGTGAAACCATCTAGGAAATGAGAGATGATAATGGCTTGAACCAAGCTGGACATGGAGGTGATAGAGTGAAGCGGATGGATTTTAGATCAACTTTCAAGTTAAAACACAGAATTGCTGATAGTCTAACAGTGGAGGTTGAAGGAAAGGAAGAAATTAATGGTTATTTTGCAGGTTTTATACATGAGTGGGTGGTGGTGGCATTTACTAAGAAGCAAAGAAAATGAAAGAAGTAGACTGGGCTAGGGAAAGAAGGGTTTGGTTTTGCACATGATACATTTAATATGAATATTAGACATCCAAATGGAAATATCACATAGGCACTTGTCTATACAAATTTGAAGTTCAGAGAGGGGCTGGGTCTGAACATGCAAACCTGAGGGTCATCAGCAAATAGGGATCTAGAGCCAAATGCCCGACTGAGATTATTTCAGCAAGAAGGTGTTCTGGATACATTACGTAGCCATTTACCTGGGATGGGGAGTATGATTGAGCTCGCTGATAAGGAAGTCTCACAAGAGCTTCTACTAGAGTCAATTTCTTACTCCTAGCTCAGATGTGCAGACCCACACTGAAGATGAGGGAGAACCAGAGAAGAGGATTGTCTCTATTTTGTTTTTTATCCCTTCTTTTAAGCTTTTTATTCATCAGGAAAGTTTTTACTCAGTGCCAAATACACACTAATCAAACTGCTTTCCTGATTTCACACTGTGAGTATAACACTGGATAGAAATTATGGGGGGCAGATAAGATAAATAAATATGATTCCTTCCTGTCTGGAATTCAACCACACAGAAAGAAAGGAAATTACTAAGAGTCAAATAATCCAAGTAAGGCATTACATGAGTTCGGTGCAGGAAAGAGAAACCATGCTGTTTAGTTTGGGGAAAGATTGCTTTAGTAAACTAGGTGCAGAAAAAATTGTGGAAGGGCTGAAGAGTCTGCTCTCCACTGACCCTTGGAGACCACCTCCTAGAACATGATAGAACTGACCGCAAGGGAAACTAGTACCTTTGAAGCCACCACCAGATTGGTCAAGTTCAAGAGCTCATTCTGACAGCTGCTATTCAGACATCAGGTAGCTGCCAACACTGTGTGGCCGTGGAAATTGCCTTGGGGCACTCATCAGATTATAGAATGGGCCCTGGAACACCGAGACCACTCATGCCTCACCACCCTCCCACCCCTCGACTCCCCATTCACATACACACAACTCGCCCTTAGCACTCAGGAGAAGGGATGTGGAATATTGCTGCAGAAATATTTTGTATCTCTACAACTCCATTTTTGCCACTTGAGAACAGCCAAGAGTAAAGGAAGATAATCTCCACTTCAGTTTAACCTTAAAAATCCAGCACTACTTCAGCTAATTCTCAGAACCTAGTTCCTGGCCAGGATCAAGGCTGCAACAGGACCTGAGACATATAGTTCTCAGCTTTCTAGCCTCCAAGTTTCAGTGAAGTACCCTAGAAGCGGTTTTGAACTGGGGATGATTTTGCTAACACACCTCGGGTCTGTGCTACTGGCATCTGGCGAGTGGAGGCCAGGAATGCTGCTAAACATCCTACAACACACAAGACAGCCCCCACAATAAAAGATTATCTGGCCCAAAATGTCAATGGCGCTGAGGTTGAGAAATTCTGCTACAGAAAGGGTGAAATAAAGATTAACTAAGCCAATTCACTGTACCTAACAATGGCTAAGGGCTCAGATTCGTTATGTAAATAATATGTGTCTGGAGTAATTTTTTTTTTTTAAGGGAGTCAATCAGGCTGGAGCTGGAGTAGTTAGATAATTTTTAATGAATGACGTGAGACTGGAATTGCCTTTTAAAGAATATGAAGGACCGTACATGCTGAGACAATAAGGAAGATGTCAGGAGTAAGGAAGGGAAAATGGCCCATCCACAGCCTCCCCTGTAATTAACATCCCTACTAGAATGGTACCTATATTACCATCCATGAACCTACATTGGCACATCATTTTCACGCAGCGTTGGCAGTTTACATTAGGGTTCACTCTTGCTATCATACATTCTACAGGTTTGGATGTATAAGTATATAATGACAAGTATCCACCATGATAATATCATACAGAGCACTTTCCCTGCTCTAAAAATCTCTGTGCTCTGCCCATTCATCCTTCCCTCTCTCCTGACCCCTAGCAACCACCGATCTTTTACACTGTCACGATAACTTTGCCTTTTCCGTAACGTCAAGTTGAAATCATACAGCCCACTAGTGGACTTTTAAAATCTGTAATTGTCTTCAATTGTCTTTCTTCCAACACCAAATCTGCAAACATTTTAGGGAAGGGATTGTGATTTCTTTTCTTATGTATCCAAAAAGTATTCAGTAAACACTTATGGAGTGTGTGAATACATTACTAGTAATGACATTTCAATATCCCAACAATCAGAAGTGGACAATTCTTTGGGAGAGAAGAGTCCTCTCTGAAACATTGATTTATAATTGAAATCTAATGGGAAAATAAAGCAGCAGCTAACAGAGTCTGGATCCAGTATTGAGGAGCTGGGTAACCTTTTTGCAATAGTCTTGGACCATCTACAAGTCTATGACACAGTGACACAGTTTTAGAGACAGAGTCACATATAGGAATGGCTTTCTGAGTAGTAACTGCAGTTGCAAATCATGTAATAATTATGGCTTGTAAAATTTTTCCACGATTTTAGGTGATACTGTTTATTCTTCTTAAGTTACCAGGAAGGAGTAGGAACTAGGGAAAGAAGAATCATTTCCTTTACAAGAAAATGAATGATTCTTTCAAAGTACTTCAAGATTTCCCATACCATGATTATAAGATACATGTACCATTCTTTTCCCTGGAAGAATCGCCTGATTTCTGTAACATCCTTTAACAAAATTGTTTTGCCAACTGTATACTCAGTACGAGGATAAATTTGTGTTTTATTTTTAGAGGTGTTTATCAGAATCTTGAAAGAGCTAAATATGTCTTTGCTTAGTCAAAGACATTTTGATTTGGTGATGTAAACACAACAAACTAGAAAAGGCCTTTAATGTTGAAATTATGGGAGATCAAATATTTAATGTTCAACAGTGCAACAGCAGAGTAATTAATTTGCCAGGAATTTTTACAGAGGATAACTAACCTCCAAGCACCATCCTTCATGTCTAAAAAAATGCACCTATTATTTCAAGTGTCGATCAGCTCAGCCAACACTAATTATGGGATTTAGTACATGTGCATGAAGATGGGGGGTGTAAAATTGCCAACCATTTTCTACCCACAGAATTGAAAATTGCAGAAAATCAATTACAATGTTGCACAGAAAATGGAATTAAATTTTTTTTGTTTATACCTGAACAAATGTTTCTGACTTCACCTTAGATGAATTCTGGTGTGTATGTGTTTTGTTTATTTATTTTGGAGAAAGTAAGTAATAGTAATAGGTGGACAGGGCCTGTTTTGTCCTGGTTCATTCTGTGAAAGGAAAGAGGTTTGCTGGCAGTTTTGGAGAGAGGGTGGGAAGAGAGGGAACTGCTTAGCAAATAATTAAAGAATAAAGCCTTTGCCCTTCCTGAAGGCAATAAAAATTTAATAAAACATTGAGTTGAAAAATGATTATTCTCATTTTGTATTTCTCAAGTCCTACCATAAAATCTGTACAGACAGACATTCTGCAGAATTTTTATCTAATGGAGAAATGAGAAAGGAGTGAAGCTTTGAGGAGGCAAGACAAGGGGGAGGGTGTTGCAGGGAATGGTAATTGGGTGGGCAGGAGAGGTTGGCCTTTATCTATCCTCAGGCCTCTCTTCTCTTTATATCCTCTCCCATCCCCTCACCCGGGTCCTCCCTCCCTGCTTCCCTTTCTACCCCACTTCACTCTCTCGCCTCCCCTTTCGCCCATCTCCTTCCCTCTTTTTTATTTCCCCTCTTCTTTCTCTTTCTCCTACCCAACCTCTTTTTCTTATGCACTATCTCATTTCCTTGCATAGCATATACCTGAAGCATGTTTATATTTTTGTATTTATTAATCAATGTTGCGTATTTTTTACTCAGAATTTTAAAGTGAATCAAATATCTTGTATATCTTCCACCCTGGTCTCTTTTCCTATCCTCCCCGTCTTGCCACTGCTCACTCAACACCACCCCTCCCCAAGAAAAAAAACTTGGTTATTGGTTGCTTTTTTGTTTACTTGTAGTTTTCTATGCTAAGTTAGTGATTCTTAACAGGAAAAAAAAAATCCTAGCCCTGCTCAAGAAACACTAATGAAGACAAGGAAAATGTTGGAGCTATTTTAAATGGTATGCCTCTCTTTGCTATTTGATGCATGTGTTTATTCCCTGCCTTATGCTAGAAATGATTAAGAATACCTTACAAAAATATGAATAATTTAGAAAGATAAAATAAATTAATAGGTCAGAAAATGAGTAAAAGACAATATAAAGATAGAAAGTTTGAAAGAATCAGGAACAAATCATATACTAAACTTGCTGGAATCAGCTCCTCTTCTCATTTTGACTGACCAGATCTATTCTAAGAGATTGTTTTAGCAGAATATCTTTTGCAGAGGTAGGTGGGGGAGACGATTTTCTTTGGAGAAAAGCTGGTCTGGATTTCTATCAGGTTTTCTATTGAGTTGTCATATCATGGCAGTTAGCTAAGCACAAGCATCTAATCTCTGCTGGGAGAAGTCTCCTCAAGCACAAAAAAGAAGAATGAGGGTCATGAAGGGATGATGTTGAGGGTCCAAACCAGAGGCAGGTGAGAGCTTGCACCTTCTCATGACTGGAGAGAGCTTGCATGACGTGTTATGTTCTGGAAGACGGTTCAGCAAGTGCATTAATTTATTTTCCTATTTTGTTCATATATCTAAATCAAGATTTCTTAACCTCAACATTGTTGACATTTTGTCATATTGACATTTTGTGTGTGTGTGTGAGGAGATGTCCTGTGCATTGTGGGATACTGAGCAGCACCCTGGCCTCAACCCAGTAGAGGCCAAGCAAAAATGACAAGCAAAAATGCTTTTGGACATTTCCAAATGTACCCTGGGTGGCAAAATCACCCCTGGTTGAGAACTACTGATCTAAATTCATTCATTCAGTCCAGGGGTTCTGGTGATCTGGAGAGAGATGTGTTCTCCCTTCAAGGGGCTTGAAGTCTTTAGCTGGAAAATTAAATGCAAGTATTTGGACAGTAAATGAATGAAGGAAAGAAAGAATGAATGAATCCTCGAGCCTGGAGAACCTCAGTTTTCTCATCTGAAAAATAGAGATCCTCTAAAAAAAGACTTATTGAGTCCTTACTTGGTGATAAGCATCACGTTTGGTACCTGTTTCTTTAGGTTGCTGTGAGGACCAAGTGAGATGATGCATGAAAAATGTTCAGTGCAGTTTCTGATATATTGTAAGTGTTCAGTAAATGTTTAGCATTATGAATGTTTATTATTATTACCATTGTTATTATCAGCATATATTTAAAGCTTTATTGTTTTCAAAGTTATTTTTAAATGCCACCTCTCTTAATAGTCATAATGACTTAGTGAGTCGTTACTGTTTTTCTGCCGTTTCACAGATGAAGAAACTGAGACTCAGGGAAGAGATGTATCCCATCAATGCCGGTAAACGGCAGGCCCAACACTGAATCTCGTTAAATCCAACTGTTTCCACCTCCTCCATATTGTCTTCTAAAAAGAGAAGAACTGGCAGGAGAAATGCCACACGGTGGGAAATCCACGATGGGTATGGTTGGAATCAGCTGTGCACATCTGTTTGTTTTTTCTTTTCCAGACACAACTGCTTCTAGACTATTATGTTATACTACTAGAAAATGGAAATCCCCACCCAACTTGTCATGTTTGTGTTTTTTCTAAAACACTCTGATGCTTATACAAACCCACACATCCTATCCTAACCTCAGTTCAAAGAGCCTTTGTTAGCAGAGGTACTACGCTTTAAAAGCCACTTATACTTCATGTGCACTGTACACGTGGCTGGGTGCAATTCAGAGTGAAGGATTCTCTGTCTTGCTTCATAAGCACTCAGTCTTTTCCAAGAAAACCTTTGGCTCATTACAACTATGTCATGTATCATATCTAAGATCCCCTATTCAAGTATTGTGATGTGTACTTGTGCTAGTTTCTACACAAGAGGGAGGTATTTATTAGGCCATGCTGCCAACAACTCCTTGTAATATATGACTTCACTAAAATGAAGTTGATAATGTGAGATCCTTGTTTGCCAAAACTTAGTCCTCAAGATTGAGAGTTAAAAGGGACATCTGACAAAGACAGTGAAAAATGCCGTTTGAAGGTCAAAGAAGATAAATTACAATGTAAGGAAATCGTTATTTCCCCATGAAAATGTGACATAATTGTTCTGAACGTCAAAGTTGAATTTGGAAAAATACTGACATTTACCACCTGAGTATCAACAGCGTCATTTCACCCCTATACAGTTAGCTGTTCTTCCCGGGCCTTCCCACTTTATTACCACAACTTTGCCTCCCTCCACCTACACATACAGACCAAGAACACATTTACAGCTTGTGAATATTTCAACATTGTGGTTTTAAAAGGTGCATTAAATTTATGCTAGATGTTGTGTTTCTGATGTGGATAATGTTACATGATGGTATAAAGATCTCCTAAGAGCTACTCCTATTAATACATTGGCAGATGAAATATAAGAGTCGGACACCATTCTTCATTCTCAAAGAAGGAATCCTATTACAATGATAGAGCTTCTTCTAGGAGAGTACCGGGACCTCTTCTGCCTAGAAGAAACATGTTTTTCTTTTTTAAATAATTATGAGAAAGAAAAAACTAGAAAGGAAAATTAAAATTAAATGTACATTTTGGGAAGCAAATAAGTTAAAATATCATGTGAAGCCTTTAATTTGGAAAACCTGGGAGGCGTTCCTTGTTAATTTAAAATTCCCTAGATAATAAAACCCTATGCATGAATTACAAATATTGTATCATAATGTATACTATACATTTGCATAGATTATATGTCTAGCAACCATTTAATGGATGCTCCAGAACACAGTCTTAAGCCTATATGTATCCTGTCCAAGAACTTAAAACAAAAACAAAAACAAAAACAAAACATTGTTTCTGGACTCTACGTGGCCAGGAAATCACAAGATTTTCTTATTCTCTATTATCATGCAAAACCTTAAGCATACGCATATATGGAAATAAGTCACTGAAGGTTTCTAGAACAAATACTCTCCACTGGTGACTCTGCCCACATATTATCATCACTCGGGCTTCCTAGAAGAAGCTGCCTTTTTAATTGTTACTCGTGAACATTTAAGATGAATTGTACAGACTTCTTTTTCATAAAGTCAAAACTATAGCTGAACAATTTCAGTCTTAAAAGATCTTCTCAGATGTTTCCAACTGTCCAATTACAGAGGGTAATATTATATATTTCAGGGTCTGGTTGATGTAACTTAAAAAGCTCTATGAAGCAGTTTTGGTCAATTCACCTAACCTATCTGAGCTTCAAATTTCTCACCTATACAATGTCAGTGGTAATACTTGATAATGTTTATTGAATATTTACTATATTCCAGGCACTATGCTGTATGCTTTCATTAACTCACTTAATACTTCTAACAACCCCTTAAAGTAGGTTTTATTATTACTCCATTTCCCAGATACAAAACTAAGGCTTGGCGATTAAGCAAATTATTGAAGAACACACAACCAATGGGTGGTCTGGTAGGAATGCAAAACCAGGTACAGCTCATCTCAGAACATAAACCCTTAACCATTATCTATTAAGTTAAATACCCTTAAAATATTTAGCAGAGTATCTGGCAAGATAGCAATAAAGGGTAGCAATAGATTTTAAAATGAATATCTGCCTGAAGGTATCTTTGTTTATGACAGAGATTCTAAACTTTGGCGTATATTCAAATCAAAAGGATGATCTTAAAAAACAAAACAACAACAACAAAAAACCCCAAACTTTTGTCCTAATACCATCCTGTACAAATTGAATTAGTATCGCTGGGGCTGAGACCTAAATATCTGTTTTGTTTTGAATTTTTAAAGCTTTCAAAGTTCTGATTTCCAGTAAGATGGAAAAACATATTCCACCCACTCAATGAAGTTAAACACTTGAAAAGAATGCATGGAGCAGTTATTTGAGGGCTCTGAAAAGTAAAAAGTATGTGGATTGGGTAAGACCAGAATTCTAAGTACCACTAAACCATCAATGAATTTACCTTTGTTTTGTTGTAATTGTTATTGTTTGGCCTGGTCTCAGGCATCCTGAAACCCAGACGTGGCCATTGGTATAGACAGAAAGTGCTTCAGAAAAATCCTCTAGTTCAAGCACAAGAAGAAAAGGGGTCTCAACATATAGAGACAGTGTTTTTATTTCTTTATTTTCCTATTCTCTTGCTCCCCAGGTCCCAGTGGCCTATATGCATATGAAACTCTGAAAGAATGGACCTTCCTCTCAGATGGATGGAACTAGAATTTCAAGAGGGTGAGGGAGAGCCCCTGCTGTTGTCTCTCTCTATCCTCCCACTGCTTGGTTCTGGATATGGGATATGCAGGAATTACATGGCAGAATGGGCAAATAAAGTCCAGCTTTCTACCAGAAGATTAAAAAAAGGAATCTCAGAGAATTGGAATGTATCACGGAGATAGCAGAGAGGGAAAAGTTCAGGAAAGTAAACTCATAAAAGTATTTCTGAACTCCTAGTCTTATGACCTGTACAAATACAGGTTGACCTCAACCAGCATCCTATAAACTTTGAGAATTGAACTATAGGACAGATTATTGGCCAGGTCTCAGAATGGCCACTGGATGGTGCAAACCTGGGTCTGATCTGAATACCACTACAAAGCTTTGAAAATGGAATAGACATTGAAACTACAGAAGGCTGTTTGAAACTTGTGGCGTCAATCCAAACATGCTGTTCATCCAGTAAAACAAAAACTTCAAAATTCTTCATAGATTTGAATAAGACCCAGCATCTTAAAACATAATCCAAAATGTCCATGATAAAATAAAAAATTACTCAGCAAATGAAGAACCAGTAAAATCTCAAATTGCATGGAAAAGGCAGTTAACAAATGCCAATGCTGAGATGATATAGATGTTGAAATTATCTGACAAAGACTTTACAACAGCTATTATAAACACGCTCCAAGAAGTAAGAGTAAATATTTTTGAAATGAGTGGAAAGATAGAAAGTCTCATAAAAATTGAAATTATAAAGAATGACATAAAAATGTTAGAGCCAAAAAGTAGAATAACAACTCATTAGATGAGCTCAATATAATAGAAATGTCAAAGGCAAGAGTTAGTAGACTGAAGATAGATCAATAGAAATTATCCAACCTGAGCAACTGAGAGAAAAGAATACTGAAAAAAACAAACAAACAAACAAACAAAAAAACATGAATAGAGTCTCAGGGACCTGTGTGATAATCACAAAATGTGTAATATTTATATCAGTGGAGTCTCGGAAAGAGAAGAGAAAATGAAGTGCATTTTCCAAAAAACGTTAGAAAATAAATGGCTGAAAAGTTTAAGTTTTGTGAAAGACATAAACTTGCATATTCCAGAAGCTAAGGAAACTCCAAACAGAAAAAGACAAACAAATAAACAACTCCCCCACCCACAAAAAACCCAAGCCCAGATACATAATAATGAAACTGCTGAAAACTAAAGACAAAGTATTAAAAACAGCCAAAGAAAAAAATAGCACATGACTTATGGGGAGCAATGTTTCAGCTGACTGTAGATCTGTCATAAGAAGCCATGAAGACAGAACAAAGTGGTGTGACGTTTTAAAAGTCACTATAAATTTCTCATGAAAAACTATGAAGCCAGAAAGAAGTGGCATGACATTTTTTAAGTGCTGAAAGCAAAGGAATATTAACCCACAACTCTATATTCAGGAAAATATGCATGACAAATGAAGGAGAAATAAAGATATTCTCAGAAGAAGGAAAACTAAGAGAATTCTTAACCAGCAGACCTCCTTGAGAAGAACTTCTAAACATTTCTTCTAAACAGACAGAAGGTAAGTGATACTAGAAGGAAATTTAGAATATCAGGAATGATGAAATAAGTACAGAAATGTTAGATATGCAGGCAGACATAGTAGACTACTTTTCTCTTTAGTTTTTTAAAATATATTGGATGATTGAAATAAAAAATTATAACATATTGGATTAGGTTTTCAAAATATATACATACAATGCTTTAGATAGCTACAACATTAATGGGAGAGGGTAAAGGATCTTTTTTTTTTTTTTTTTTTTCAAGACAGAGTCTTACTCTGTCACCCAGGGTGGAGAGAAGTGGCATGATCTCAGCTCACTGTAACCTCTGCCTCCCAGGTGCAAGCAATTCTCCTGCCTCAGCCTCCCAAGTGGCTGGGATTACAGGTGTCTGCCACCATGCTCAGCTAATTTTTATATTTTTAGTAGAGACAGGGTTTCACCATGTTAGCCAGGCTGGTCTTGAACTTCTGACCTCAAGTGATCCACTCGCCTCAGCCTCCCAAAGTGCTGGGACTACAGGCATGATCCCACCCTGGCTGGGCTGGCAAAGGATTCTTAATAGTGATAAGATTTCTCCATTCCACCTAAAGTGATAAAATATTGATCTCTAGTCAACTGTAAAAAAATCTATGTATGTTTATTGCATTCTCTAGAACAATCACCAAAAAAACTATACAAAGAGATATAGCCAAACATACAAAAAAAAAATCACAATGGAGTGCTAAAACACGTTTAAATAATCCCGAAGAAGGCAGAGAAGGGGAAGCAGAAGGAGGAAAACAGAGGAATAAAACAGAAAACAAATAATAAAATGTGGACCTAATTCCAAGTACATCAATAGTTATCTTAAATGCAAATGGTCTAAACATGCCAATTAGAAGACAGAGATTGTTAGCTTAAAAAACAAAAACTGTGACCCAACTATATGATGTCTGCAAGAAACTCATTTCAAATATAATAAGAAAATCAACAAGGTGGAGTTGGAGAAAAGGCATCAGAGTAAAACTGGAAATAGAAACAAAAGCTTGGAATATCATAGGGAAATATCACCTACCTTGTAAGTTTTTCCATATATCTGGGTTATAAAAATAAAAGCCCACTAGTACATTCATTAGAGAATTTTTTATATAAAACTGAAGACATCTTTCAAAAATCACTTCTATTTGTTTCCCTAAAACTTGATTGACCTTAGGCAAGTCATTTCTCCTTTCTGAACCTCCTTTCCTTCATCTATAAAGTGAGGGGGAGGGACTGTCCCCATTCACCCTACTCTTCTTCCAACATGATTAGACTTTATCTAAGGTTTCTTCCAGCTCTGTGATTTTTTCCTATGCTTCTATTTTCCAGCTAATTTTTTTTTCTGTTGTTTTCAAATCACTCTGTATTGGAGCCAAATAATCTTTCCATCATTCTATTTAACTTGCAAAGAAAGTATTACAGATAAAACAGGTGGGAACCTGACTCACTGTCACTCAATCAAAAGCTGTGGTCTGGAAATCTCTCAGACACACACATCTTGAAACAAAAGCAGAAACCAATATGGAAAAAAAAAAAGAACAAGTTCCAGCTGAACATCTTGCTTTATTTTCTCCTGCCATGTAGACACAGGCTTAGGCAACATATATAGCCAACTATTATTTACGTGTATTGAAAACATGGATACATTGCATTTAGAAAGTTACTTGTTACAAACAAAACCTAACAAATTGTTTAGACTTTAATAATGTGAGAAGAAACAGAATAAATTAAAAGCTAACCACATTTTTCTCAGCTTCCTGATGGGTGTCATCCGAACAGCTTGAACAATTGCAAAATATTAGTCAGGTAATTTCCAGGCATTCTGTTATTATCATTTTAACTTGAGAAAAGTTTATTGAACATTTACTGCACCATTCTAGCTCTAGACCCTTTGGAAGACATAACGATGTAAAATATATGGTCTCTATTTTCCAGATATTGCGAAAACTTCTTAGTGGACTTACTGTAAATTCCAGGAAGGCAGAAAATGTGGATGTTTTGCTTATCACCATTTAACCAGTGACTGGCATGGGTGCTATGTGGGTGTGGTCCAGATTAGTTACTGGAAGATATGAGAAATTTATTACAGAGCTAATCATATTTAGCTCCTTACTGAGAGGATGGATCTTCATACAAAAATGGAATTATATTTATATATTTTATATATATACACACATATTTATACATATACACATTGTTAGTTTGTTATATGTGTGCATATCAGAAACAACAAGCAGATTTTTTTAGTTTTTTTTTTAACTTATGTAGACCGCAAAACACAATAAGATTGATGAAAATTTTCAGGTTCATAGCTGGTTTTCTGAGAGTCCAGTTGAGTGGCACTTGTAAAACTCAAATTCCTACACCAGTCACCTGGGGCATCTTGCTAAAATGCAGATCCTAATTCAGTAGATCTGGGGCAGGGCCTGAGATTCACATTTCTTACAAACTTCTGTTGATCGTGGTCCATGGACCACATGTTGAGTATGAGGTGCCAGATGTAAGCTGTGTCCAAGTCCAAGTAAAAGGAGCTGCAGTGACTACAATGTACAGACCTGACAGGGTAATAAAAACAGAATTTTAAACTGGGATGACTATAGAGATTATTTTGGAGAATGAAATCCTTAGACATAAGAGATTAAAAGCACATTCTTCAGTCTCTACAAATAGCTGTGGTTTTGTTCCCACTGGGATTGGGCCTTGAGGCTCCTTTTTAAACCCTCCTTTTCCTTCCACAAATTGATTGTCTAATTTGGTTAAAAAATGAAGTTTAAGAGAAGCCACTGGTATATCTATGGATGGGAAGAAGGGCATTCCCAGCAAAGACAAGAAGCATGTTCTAGGCTGTTGCCTCTGTATGAATGAGTCTTGGGTCTTTGTTTAGCAGGGCTGAGTTACCTTTTTTCTTGGAATCTCTTGCCCAGATGGCCTATGTCTGGTTCCTTCAACAGAAGAAGGAAGAAGAGGAATTTGGGAAATGAGAACAAGTGCTCAGAGATTTCCAAAAAATTATTCCTGGAGGCCTGAATCAGGATTTTTTTTTTTTTAACTCATGCCAGCTGTTTGGTGGTTATGAGTGATTTGGGTCAGGCCAGTTTAATTTCCATCATGCCAGGCCCCGAGACTGAATTTCTGGTATCACCTGGACTCTCTGTCTTCCCTAACCTTAACTTGGAAAATGTCTGATTCTAACCATTCTAACAACACTGTGTAGTGTTATGTCCTAAATAACCCCTGAGAGACTATTTTGACCTGGTTCTGTCTTCATGAGACTAGCCCATGTGGATGAGAATGAATGTATTTGAGGAAGAGAGGATGGTCATTGAAAACCTAAATGAACTCATTTTCTAACTTGCCTGGAAGTCACCAGCATTTTTCATTTATTTGGAGATTGTTTTCAAGGGGACATTCTCACGCTAACCAAGTCTAAGGACACCTACAGAATCTGAACTTTCAATCTGCAGCATGTCCATCATCATCAGATGATGAACTGTGTGTGTTGGCACATTGTGGGAGGAGGTACATGGGCAGGAAACATTAATAACAGTTTGTGCTGTGAGCTCAAGAAAATCACTGGTCTGACATCATCGCTAAATATTGGAGGGTCTTAGGAGTCTCTAGATCCCTGGATCCCTCTTGGGAGTGAGGATCACGGACTTCCTCTTCAGTGAATGGAAATCTTACAACAAGTTCGCATCAACATCTTTGAGCCATTTCCTTCAGAGAAATCAACTGCTTTTCAGAGGACTTTCTCTCTGTGAATATTCTCTTTCTTCCCACGTCCCACTGCCTCCAACCCTTCAACTGAAAGAGAAAAAGCAAAGGCAGCAAGACAAGTGTGAATCTTGAAGGTACGTTGGATGGAAAGCACATACACAGGGAGCAAACACATATGCATCTGAGTTGCAGCTGTATCAGTAACCAGCTGTATGACCTTTGGCAAGTTGCTTAATGTCTCTTGTGTTTCCATTTGTGGTTATAAAATAAAAGAGTTGGACAAGAGGATTTCAACCTACTTTTTTCAGCCTTAAATATCTAGGAGTCTACAGCTTAGCTTCCTTCTTGAGCTCATAAACCCATCCATGAGATTCTTACTTATGAAACAAAAACTCATGAATGAGAATAGTGTCCTATGATCATACGACACTGGAATTCACTTTTAAAAAAAATCAAGATTACCTGGGTGACTCGAACGTCTATTAAATCCTCACTAAAGTCAAGAGGAGATCATCGCTCAGTACGATAATTTTAAACTAATCAACTCAGTAGTTTGTGGTTGGTAGTTGATCTCCAAGTCATTTCCATCCTCTAATAAATTATTCTCTTTTCCTTATCCTCATCTTCAGTTGAGATCACTATAGCTGACACTCTGGGGTGAATCTTCAGTCAGTTACCACCACCACCAATCCTGACTCCAGGCCAAGGGATTTTAACATAGAAACACAAAACCCATCCTTGAACAACAAAACATCAATTCTCACAGGAAGTAGCTCTTGCTTTGTTTTAATAAAAAACAGTCTTAGAGCACTTACACACACACACACACACACACGCAAACCACACGTGGAAAAAATGTGTCATTTGTACCTTTGCCTAGAGGAAAATGTTGAAACTGCACCTTGGTTAATAGAAATGGAATCACCATTGAGTCTCTAAGTGATTTTTCTCAGCAAGTGGGAGAGGCACAGAGTGGAGTACTCAGAGAGTCAGAAGAAATCCGATCTGAAGTGACTTGGCATTTTGGTGCACCCAGAACTGAAGTGCTGGGAGTCAGATTTCAGGAAATAGAGGGGAGGAATTTGAACTGCATGGAAGTGATTACAAGAGAGATAATGGACAATTACATCAGAACTAACTCAAACCTGCCAAGAGGCTCAGTCGCTCTTCATTAATAATGGTGATGCTGGCAACAAATGAAATAGATGAGTGAGAGGCCTTGACTGAGCATTGCTTCAGTTTGCATTCTGCCAACAAGTTTGCATGTGGCAAGCTGTAACTTTACTACTCAGAGTCATAAAAGAGCTGGGCACCATTCCCAGAACATTGCTAACTTTTCTTCTTTCTTCTGTGGTCCACATATTATAATTGTATGATTTTTTTCCCCAAAGCCATTTTCAACTCTGGAAATGGAGGGACAATGCAATGCACATGTTACTCAAGTTTAGACCTAGTTCTCTTCTGATGAGTTCTGCACTGACGTTTAGCTCCTGGCGGAATGGTGCTGGTTTAAAAGGTACATAGGATAACCTGCCTCAGTCACAGATGAAACGATACTAGCACTGCAACTGGATTGAAGCCCATTTAAACTTCACAAGGATTTGATTAGCTAAAGATGGCTTCGTAAGTCCTGGACCCCAACCCAGCCCCCTCTTACTCTTGGCGGGTGATCTTAGTAGGATGTTAGATATCAGCCAACTCAGCTTCCTTTCTGTTCACCCCCAAAGCTCTGGGGATTAACCTCATTTTCCCCTCCCTCCCTCCATCTCAGAGAAGAAAGTATCCCTTCTCTCCTCTAAGCCACACCCACCATGTCCTGAATCCCATCTCTTCCTTCTTGAGTCTGCAATGTGATCCATGCATGCACCTGTGTGAATTCACAAACAAAATTATGGGATCTCCTTCCATAGGTTTCTCCATTCCATACTCTCTGGCCCCCAAGTGCCCCTTTACCTAGTTCTTCAGGTCAGAAAGATGGTTATTATCTGAGTTGTAGCAGCCTGCATCTTGGACTCACTTTCCCAGCTCTGTGCTTAAAGCCACCTGCAGGGCAAAGCCATGAAGAAAGAAAGAAAGAAAAAAAGACACCTGGGAAATTCATTCCCTTGCAGGTCACTACTCCATGTTTCAACTTCCCTCCACAATTTGCCTGATTTGACCTAATTTTCAGAGTCCTCTCCCGCATCATTTCCTCTCTGACTGAGGCAGATGGTTATTATTTAACTTCTCCTCTGGGTCTCTGCTCCTGGCCTTCAAGCAAGACCGCCAGCTCTTTCTAAGACATCTTTGTCTCCACCTTGCCTCCTTAGCCACACCGCATCCTGCCCTCTTCTTCCTTTTCCTTTCCAAGCTCCTTGAAAATGTACTTTCTACATGAACTTAGACTTTGTTTCTGGCATAACAGGGCAAGTCCACCACAGTTGACCTCTCCCACTGATTATAACTAAAAACTCTGGGCAAAATACAGAAACCAGCTCCCCAGGGACCCTGAAAATTAAGCCAAAGCAGGCAGGCAGATTGGGGAAGGAGGTTGAAACTTGGAGAGGCGACCTGCAAAAGAATGAATTTCTCAAGTGCGTTTTTATCCTTTTCTCATGTCTTTTCCCTGAGGGCAGCCCCAGACACAGAGCTGGGAAGGATCAGCTGGGCTGAGTGCTGAAACTTAGATGATAGCCTCAACATTCTGGATGAAAGACCTGGGAAAAGGGGCCAGAAGTGTGGAGAGGAGAGAGTTAGTGAAGGGGATCCCATAATCCTGTTTATGAACCCACACAAGTGCATGCATGGATCAGACACAAACCAGCACAGCAGAGGCTGTGAGAGCTGCACTGATATTAAAATGCAGCCCACATCACAGATTAATTTCTAAGTGGCATGTGCATGGGACACACTCAAAGCAGCATACCAAAGGTTTTAAAAGCTAACCTGAGATTAGAACCACCACAGGAAGCAAAACAGAACTTTCAGTCTGAATCTGACCAGGTTGCCTGATATCAAACAAATAAAAAGTCAACATTTTCCATTTGTTTAATACAATAGCACAACACATAATATACAAAATGTCCAAGGTACAATCCAAAATTGCAGAAACATACATTGAACTGAAAAACTGTGACAAATTCTCAAAGGAAAAGAAGCAACATATGACACACTGAGATGTCCCAGGGGTTGAAATTCTGAAGGAGAGATTTGAAAACAGCTATTTTAACTACGATCCATGAGGCTAAGGTGAAAATACTTAAAAAAAAAAAAAAGACATTCTCTGTAGAGAAATAGAAACTATAAAATAAACCAATTGAAAATTGCAAAACTGAAAAATACAATATCTGAAACTTTAAAAGTCATTGGGTAAGTTCGACAACAGAGTAGAAGTGACAGAAAGAAAAGTCTATGAACTTGAAGATAGATCAATAAAAAATTATCCAGTCTAAAGAACAGAGAGGCTGGGCATGGTGGCTCATGCCTGTAATCCCAACACTTTGGGAAGCCGAGTTGGGCAGATCACCTGAGGTCAGGAGTTCGAGACCAGCCTGGCCAACATGGTGAAACTCCGTCTCTACTAAAAATACAAAAATTACCTGGGCGTGGTGGCGCATGCCTGTAATCCCAGCTACTCAGGAGGCTGAGGCAGGAGAATCGCTTGAACCTGGAAGGTAGAGGTTGCAGTGAGCCAGGATCATGCCATTGTACTCCAGCCTAGGCAACAGAGCGAGACTCTGTCTCAAAAAAAAAAAAAAAAAAAAAGGAAAAAAAATAAAGTAAAAATAGAAACTTAACGACCCATGGAACAATATCAAAAGGCCTAACATATATGTCATTGGAATTTCAGAAAGAAAATAAAACAGATTGGCATCAAAAACTTCCACTATTGGAGAAGGACATAAATTTGTAGACTAAAGCGGCTCCATGAATCCCAAAGATGATAAACAATAAACACAAAGAAAACCACACCAGACACACCATAATCAAACTGCTGAAAACCAAAGATTAAAACAAAAACATCTTGAAAGCTGCTAGAAAAAGATGACACATTACATACAGGGGAACAATGATTCTGCTGTGAATGTGTCAGCAGAAGCCTCAGCAGCTAGAAGACAGTGAATCGATGTCTTTAAAGTGATGAAAGACCAAGAATGAGGCAGGACTTTTATATCTGAGAGAAATTAGAGTGCAGGCTGCTTACTAAATGCGGGCTCTGGTCCAGAAAATGGCACAGAAATCTAGAGATTAGAACTGCAGTGAGGCTCAGAAACAAGAAAAGACCTGGTTAACAATCAAGGCTTAACCTGAATGTCAGATCTGAGACACACACACGAGTGCACACAAACACACACACACACACACACTACATGCAGGGTCCAAGTGACCGTCATGAAGCTGGAAGCAGAGGCCAAATGGCCACAGCTGAATGAGAGAGGTCCCCTGGGGCTGTCAGATTTGGCTAGCCATTGACTCTTTTCTGTACATGTCCAAAATGCCTCACCTTTGTCCACACAATTCTCTCTGCCTTCATCTCCAACTGTCTCAACTCAAGCGGACTAATTCCTACTAGTCCTGGATGACCTGGTTCACGTGCAGCCCCATTTAACCTGCAACAAAAACTTACTGGATACTAGCTATGTAGCAGGAGCTGAACTTCTCCATAAAGCCTTCCCAGATCTTCCTACTGAAAGCAATTTCTCTCTCTCTGAGTTTTCAGATTAACTCATTGTACTCGTTTCACGCTTCTTGTTAGAGTTGGCCATACACCTGTATACTCTATATTTTCTGAGGATAGAGGTTGTATGTTACTCATCTTTGTGTTACCAATGGGGTCTATCACTGTAACTTAAACGTACTCATTGCTAAGTATTTTTAATGAACCAAATGAAGGATAGCTTTTTTCCTTCTAATCCAATTAGAACACAACCCATCATTAAGTGTAGTATGAATTGCTTACATATTTTTTTAAAAAAAAAACCTGATAAAACAATTGTCTTTACTATAATTAGCAAATGATACAAAAATTAGAAGACAAAAAGAACATTGATATTTCTTAGAATTATTTTTTTCATAATTCTTTGGCATTTCCTATGCTCATAAGAATCAGAGAATATAGGCAGACATTGTATTCTCTCGACAGGCCTGGAAGAGAACTTAAAAATAAAAGATCAAGCTCTTATTTTACAAAGTAGAAAACTGAGAGGTTAAGAGGGTGCCCCAAATCTTATGCTAATTGAACTGGACTAAAGTCCAGGTCTTCCCAACTCTCCGTCTGAGGCTCAGGCTTCCTTTAATTCAGTACTACAAGGTCTAGATGTAATGAAAGAACAGAAGAACAGAGTCTGGTTGAGTGAGGCTGGATGGTTGGCTAGCATCACTGAAGAGGCTGGTCATCTCCTCCCCCAAGAATAGGGAGCTGCTGTGAAGGTCACCTCTGCGTTCAGCTAGCTCTTCCTGTGTGTCGATGGCTGAATACAACAGCCACTTCTGCGTCACCAGCTGGTTACCCATCACTTGAAGGACCAGAGACTTCAGAAGGAGCCAGTTATGAAACAAGGGGAAGAGCATAGTTGGAAATAAAAGCTATGCATCTGATTTCATTTCTGTCAAAAACCACGTTGAGGACACTGCAAAACCCCTCATTGCTTTCGGTGCCTCAGTGTCCCCATTTGTGAAAATGATGTTGACGATGCCTATGACTCTGGAAACAGAAATGGAATGCATGTCAACTGGCCACCAAGTCAAACAGATTTTCGATGCAAATAGAAACAAAAAGCTGGGGGAAGTATGAAGAGGTTTAAGTATAAAAGAAAAACAAGAATGAAAAAGATAATCCTTTTAAGAAGTTGATTTTTTTTTCTTAGTCATTCCCAAAGTAAGACGGCTAGGGTGATGCTGCCAATGCTTAACTCCAAAATAGATAAAAGGTTAAAAAAAAAAAAAGAAGGCAGCTCTATTGGGGGAAAAAGTCCTGAAATAACCCATCACTGATGTTCAAAAGTCACAAGGTCATCATTCATCTTTATAAAAAGAGACATGGAACAAAGACAAACAAGGCAAAGGGCTTACTTTTTACATAACACCAGGACAGGTAAAAGAAATCGCTATAATTCCTCAGGCCTTGAGCATGACAGAAAAATTTAAAGCTTTAGGAAATATCCTATGAAATGCTATATTTCTGGTTTCAACAAATGCTTGGAGACATCATGAAAGTCCTTTTGATATGGACAGAAAGTTTTGTTCATCATTTCTTTTAAATTCTTTAAAAATATATATATATATTTTCAAAATCCTACAGTCTAGTCTCTGTGTTGACCTAAGATCAGTCAGAGGCAAGCAAACCACAACTTCAGAAGCTTACATCTAATTGTATTATCCTAGACTTTAACATTTATTAACTTCAACCCAGAGCAATACATTACTCTAACAAGAGTTAACATTACCGATTCCACAAGCCCTCTGTTTGGCACTTCAATATAATTGCCTTTGTAGTGTTCTTTTGAATCTGCCTGTGCACACACACAGACACACATTCTTACAAACGTGGAGTGGAAGGAAAAATTTCTGTGTTCATCCAGTGAAAACTTGACACAGACATACCACAAATTGCAGAGATAAATGTATAAGAGATCAGGGTCATAGACCAGTCGATAGCAAGAATAAAATTTCTTCAAAAGCTCCTGTTTATCTAAAAATGTATGTAAATTTCAAGTTATATACCATCATATATATAGGTTTCTTTTAATATTAAAATAATATTTTCCCCCAAATATCCTAATAGGATGGCATCCTCCAGTGTAGAAAACCTAGAAAGAAAATCTACAACACTTCGTCTAGAATTCTGCTATTTTAAGGCAAAATTGTTTTGTTTTCTCTTTTGAATTATTCACATCTCCATGCCAGTTACACACTGCAGTTTGCATAAGTGTAATACTAAGAAATCTTACAATTTTTTATTAAAAGTCCCAGAAAAGTCCACATAAAATAGTTTAAATTATTTTGCCTATGCAACCAAGATTTTCTGGGATAATTCCAATTTCATTCTTTTCAATAAATATGAATTTCTATTTCATTTGTGGGGAATCGTCCAACACATACACTCACATAGTTGATTAAAGTCTATTGTAGAAAGCAGTTCCCTGCAGCATTATGTGTAATGATAAACAGCTGAAAACAAGTTAAATGCCCCTCAGTAGGGGAATAGTTTAAGAACTGTTGATACATTTATATAATGTAACACAAAGCAGAATCAGGTATATCTCTATGTACTGAAAAATATCAAGTTACTGAACAGATGTTTAGTATACTCTCATTTGTGTCACACTTATAAAAATTCTACCATATATTTTGTGTAGGGTTGGAAAGTTTCTGGCAAGATATACCAGAAACAAATAAACAAATTGCCTCTGGGGTTAGAGTGGAGGGCTAAGGAGAGATAGGGACTTTTACTTGACACTCATATTCTAATTCCCAGTGTGTCTGCCTCACCTTGATGAATTAAACTCTTTCCTTAATTCTTGCAATCCTCATTGCTTTCCACCCTGTTTGAGATCCCATATTGTCATAACTCATACAGTCCTGGCCATAAGATATGAGCTTTGATGAGACTGAAATGAGCTGTTTGGGGAAAAAAAAGTAAATGTCACAGAACTTCACTAGCTATGGGGTTGACTGCTGAGGGTTACAGCAGATAGGTCAACAGTAGCGTTAAGATGGATGAAGTATTCCAGCTACCCAAAATATCAAGAAAGTCCTAAAGAGCAGTGCACCTAGGAGCTGCCAGGTGGAATGACACAGGAAGTCAAGCATATGGGAGCATCGTCGTTTCAAGGAGTCCAACATGCTCCTCAGCTAGTTGCAGCATTACCCAATATCTATTTTCCCTTCTTCCCTGTAACAGAATCCAAATTTTGTTTGGGGCTACAAAGTGCCCAGGTAAAAACACTTCCTTAGACTCTCGATTTTAGAGGTGGCCATGTTACCTAGTATTGGTCACCAGGGTAAAAGCAAAGGTTTTTTTGGGTGACACTTTCTAAAAATTATTATTTCTTGATGAAATAAAAAGGGACAGCATTAGCCAGCTTGTGCCCATTGCCCTGTGTATTTTAACCTGCCTGGAAATAGATTTGAGGCCTGGGAGTGGAAAAGTCATCTTGTAACCATAAAGATGAAAATCACACAATGAGATGGCAGAACAAGAAACTAGGAAAAGCCTCGGTTCTTGATGAACTCCTAAGGCATCTTCCGAAGTCATAAACAGATGCTCTCTCTGGAGCTCCTGTTATATGAGAAAAATGGCCTTCTGCTTGGCTAAGCTGGTGTAATCGGGCTTCTATGGACAAAGGTAATCCTAACCAACCCTGTGCGCCAGCCACGGTTTGGGATAGAGGAAATGAGGAGCTGTCAGGATTCCAGAGCGGGTAACAAGGGCTCTAGACAAGAGAGCTATAATTCTGTAGAGTGGAAGAGTTTGGAAAATGACCTAGGAAACTCCTGCAGCTGCCGGGCAATGGCCTGGGTAAACAGAGGGACTGCACATTGGCTGTGCTCAGGTGCCCAGGATTGGTCTGGTTGTAGGGCAGGATCATGCAGGAAGCAAACATCAGGGTGACTTCTGGCTATGATATAAAAATGCAACAGGAAGGACATTCCACAGTCTTCCCAAGATCAGCCACTTTTAGGTCCTCAGCCTGTGGGGCTAATGCTGTTCTCCAAGTGCTCTTCTAGGTCATGTTGAAATCTGTACACCATACTCTTTGCTTTCTCCGCCAGGGCTCTAACCCGAGCTTCAAGCCCCATTTGTATGCAGCTGTCCATGGGTGTCAGTAGTTGTTTGACTTAGCAGAGCCGAGAGCCCCGGGTTGGGAGTGGAGAGAAAAAAGGGAAGAGCTGCATTCCAGTCAACATGCTCCTGGAAGGACCTGACCTCTCCCGCTCACTTTTTAAAAAGGCTCCATAGTCAAGGAAAGGTGAGTGAAAAGGATATATCAGTGTTAACTGAAAGAATTTCCTTTTTATTTTTTTTTAAACGTACTCAGAAGAATGCATTATCTGTTAGTAAGTAGTGTAAGTAATTATCTTTCGCGTGGAACTGGTATATTTTAGGCAATCCCACTGAAATGGCGTAAACAACATTTCCTGTGTCAAAAGCAGAGATCCAAGTCTGTTTTAGAATGGTCCTAATCTCCATCTCTTATAATTTCCACCAATAACTTGTCTTTTTATATATGCTGGCATCTGCGTGAAAGACAGCATCCCACATTGACCAAGTCTCCATCTGGTGACAGACGGGGGAACAGGAACGTAGACTGTCACTTTATGCAGATGGATTTCTATTAATACAAACAAGTGACCCTAAAAGAGAAATTGGCTAGCTCCAGCATAACTTTAAGAAGATTGTTCTGAATTTCCTGAAAACAGGTTATTTCTAAATACATGGTGTTGCGTTTCAAACACAGATCAGGCATTTTGTCCTTCTCAGAGCTGGTTTTTCCTAGTGGGTTTGCTGTTCTGAGCCTGTGTGTTTGGAAGAGCATGGGCAGGAGATGCAAGGAAGTGGTTGCCAGGAGGGCAAGAGGTGTCCTGTGGGAAGAGCCCCAAGTCCTCCTTGTCTCTGTTCCAGGATCCATGTGTTATGAATCCTGGAGACAGCAGAGCATGGGGGCGAGGAGAACAGAGGGGAAAGGAAGTGGTTTAACCCACCATGGCTCCTGGTCTCTTGTCTCTTACATCACTGTGAGAATAGGTAGCTTTTAAATATCCTCGAGTACTTCCGTCAGGTAAATGTACTTTCTGAACTTATGTAAGTGATCCCTTAGAGGATCACTAGAAAAGCTTTAGCTGGCTACTTCCTCATCTTCAGTGACCACCCCTGGCCAGCCATGACCAGGAGGACTCCATCTGGGCTATGGAGAGACTCACCAGAGGGACAATTCTGAACCATGAACAACCCAGTAGCCCATCAGTAGAGATGGAGCAATGGTGTAACCATGAAACAAAATCCTTTGCCGTGATTCAAGAATGCATTTTGTAACAGTGTTTTTCAAACTGTAGTTATTTCAGTACCACTTCAGGGTTTTTGCCCTGCCTGTGTCCAGCTCTACTATCATGTGCTTAATATTTTTATTTAAATGGACTTGGTTTTTAAACTATGGAATCCCACATTATCTTTGTCCTAAGTGATGATATATCTATGCCACCATGAATTTGAGGTGCTAACTATATTTTTTCAATACACATTAACATAAGTAGATAACTATCAAAATTAAACATGTTTAAGTGTTAGTTAAAATCGTCCTGAGTATCCCCAGTGGTACACTTCTCACCTTCTGGAGAAACTGTGCTTTCTCCAGAAACAGTATTTGGTATCCCTGGGGGAAAGGCTATGCTCTCCTCTGAAGAAAAGCCTTGGAATGCAGTTTGATCACAATTTTGTGGAAATGATATCTGTGTGTGTGTGTGTGTGTGTGTGTGTGTGTGTATGAAAAAGTTCTGGATGTGTGTATTGTTAAGGACAGTTAGCGCTACGTAATATGGTATAAGATTGAGTTGCGGTTTGTTGGTTTGTTTTACAAGTAGCACCTTTACTTCAAAGTGACGATTAACTCATTTGTCTTTTTAAATAACAGCTTTTTTGTGATATAATTCACATATCATCACTGCTTGAGGAAAGCAACCTTGTAGCCAATGCTGATATTGGCAATACCTTTTCAGAGTATATTTATAATAATCATCAAACTTGTGTGATGTTAGTAAAACTGTTGTCTATTTGTTTAAGGTACATTGTTTCCATAGCCTATCTAAGCTTGCTTGGGGTTGGCCCACCCCCAAATTATGCCGCATTGACATAAGGATTATTTTGGGCTACAGGCAATTGAGACTCAACAGATACAGAAAAAGTTATCTACTCTGTTTTGGGTTTTATCTGCTTAAAAGTAAGGTATGGGTTGCCCTTTGAGGAAGTAGTCTGCCTTATACCAGTGAGGGAAGGGCTACCGTTGTCCTTGAATATACAGTCAACACCAATATGAGCATGCATAAAGAATTTCATAAAATGGTTCCTATTTTCCATTCACCTATATGTTTCATACTTCCTGAACAATTGAAGCCTGATGAAAATGAACAAAATTACAAAAAATTTAGTATACACATATAATTGCCTTTTTCTAGAATCATTGCAAAGTTAATTTCCTTATAGCAATAACACAGAAGGGAGTTCCTTATGCTCGCCTAGGCACTGCGTTCTGATTGGTTGCTGTGAATCTCCTGTTTTTTGGAAAACTGGCGAATTTTAAAGACAGATTATATGGCACCTCACTCCAGAAACACCATTCTGGTTTGATCATCTCAAACAATGGCCTCCCTTAAGTCCAAGCCCTTTCCCTTATTTTAGAGTACATAAGCCCCTGCATCTGACCTCTTCAATTCTAACCAACTTTTCTTTGACCCCAATGCATGTAAATATTAAAAGTTATGTGCTTTTTCCCTTGTGGAAAAAATGCACATACCAGAAAATTCACCTTTTTAAGGATAAAATTCAGTGTTTTTAGTGTATTTACAGAGTTGCACACCATCAACAATATCTAATTTTCATCAACGCAAAACAAACTCTGTATCCCTTATCAGAAATTCCCCATTCCTTCCTAAACCTAGCCCCCAGCAATCACTAATCTACTTTCCATCTTTATAATTTGCCTATTCTGGCATTTCACATAGATAAAATCATACAACATATGACCTTTTGTGACTGGCTTCTTTCTGGTAGCATAATGTTTTCAAGGTTAATCTACGTTGCAGAATTTCGGTCTTTTCTGTTGTAAAATAACATCTGATTACCTGATATACCACATTTTGTTTGTCTATTCATCAGCTGACAGATATTTCTGCTATTCCACTTTTGGACCATTATAAATAATGCTGCTATGAACATTCATGTACAAGTTTTTACGTGGACATATGCTTTCAATTTTCTTGGGTATACCCAGGAGTGGAATTGCTGAATCATATAATAACTCTATGTTAAGTTTAATGAACTATGTTAAGTTTAAGGAGTTTAAGGAACTGCCTGTGTTCGAAAGTCACTACACTATTTTACAATCCTACCAGTAGTGTATTAGGATTCCAATTTCTCCATATCCTTTCCAACATCTGTTATTGTCATTTTGACTTTAGTCATCCTAGTGGATATGAAGTGGCATCTCATTGTGGTTTTGATTTACATTTCCCTGATAACTAATGAGCTCTTTTTCATATGTTTATTAGCTATTTGTATATCTTCTTAGGACAAATGTCTATTCAGATCCTTTGCCTATTTTTCAATTAGGTAATTTGTCTTTTTATTATAGAGTTGTAAGAGTTCTTTATATATTCTAGATTCACATCTCTTATCAGATATACGATTTGCAAGTACTTTCTTCTATTTTGTGAGTTGTCTCTTCACTTTCTTGATAGTGTCCTTTGACATGCAAACGTTTTTAAGTTTTATTAAGTCCAGTTGTATTTCTTTTGTTGCTTGTGGTTTGAGTGTCATATCTAAGAATCTATTGCCTAACGAAGGTCATGAAGATTTATGACCTATGTTTTCTTCAAGGAGTTTTAGAGTTTTAGCTCTTATAATTAGGTCTGTGATCCATTTTGACTTAATTTTTGCACATTATTTGCATCAGAGGTCCCATTGTATTCTTTTCATGTGGCTCTTTGGTCATCTAAGCCCCATAGTTAAAAAGACTGTTCTTTCTCCATTGAATGGTCTTGGGAGCCTTGTTGAAAATTAGTTGAACATAAATGTAAGGGTTTATAATTCTGTACTCTCAATTCTATTCCATTGATCTATAGGTCCAGCCTTATACCAGCACTTCACTGTCTTGATTATTGTAGCTTTGTAGCAAGTCTTGAAACTAGAAAATGTGAGCTCTTTAACTTCTTTCTTTTTCAAGATGGCTTTGGCTATTCTAGGTCTCTTGAATTTCTAGTTTCTGCCCTCCAAAAGGCAGCTTGTATTCTGTCACAGATTACACTGAATCTGTAAATCAACATGGGGGGTATTACTATTTCCCATGAACAGGGGGTGTCTTTTTAATTTAGTTAGATCTCCATTAATTTATTTCACAATGTTTTGTAGCTTTCAGTACATACATCTTATACTTCTTTTGTTAAATTTATTCCTAAGTATTTTATTCTTTTTGGTGTGATTGTAAATGGATTCGGATTGAATTTTACTTTCTTTTTTATCCTTTTCTACATTTCTAAATTATTTACAATAAAGACATAATGCTCTTATAATCAGAAAAAAATATGACAAATAACCATTTCAGCCTCGTGAAGATTTGAGAATCCTAGATGTGAATTTTCTGAGGATTTGTTTTGTTTTAATGTCTGAATTTGGCTTCTAGTTTAATTCAAGCAATTCATGAAGCCTCTAATGGAGCTTGAGAAGTTGGTCTCACTCTTAACTGCATGTTTAGCATATTGTAAAGATGTAAAGTACAAATTTATTACTTGGGACATCACAGATTTTAGGTATATTGTTTAACAAAAATGAAAGACATTTTGTTGGAAGCAAGATCAATAAATGTTCACTACAAAACCTTGAGTCTGTAAAGAAAGTCAAAATAAACCACTTCATGCTCCTGTGGAGTAGAGGGGAAGGGAATGAGGGTTTCAATGAGAAGGAAAAAAATGCCTATTTGCATGATCCAAATTTTTAATGTAGCTGGCCCTGACAGAGAGATTAGCCGGATCAGCTGCCCATGCCTCTACCTCACTCCAGGCTGTAACTTACCTTTACCTTGAGGTTTATTACATTATAGCTTTTAATCAGGTCTATTAGCTAAAGCACCAGTTTCATCAGAGATCTCCACTGGACACCTTGGCCCAAGACTTCCCCTTTCAGCTTAAACCTGTCCTTTATAGGTTGTTTGTTTGTTTGATTGAGTATTTATTTTAAATCCAACAGAACTTGCTTACACTGTGTTAGTGAATACAGGACTTGTTTGGTTGTTGTGGCAGCCCCAGATAGTCAGGTCTTTCATAACAGATCTAAAAGATCCCCTTGATCATAAAGATAGTCCCCTAGGGAAGGTTAATACTGCTACATCTAAACTCACAGCTCCTGGCAAGAAAAATTATACACCAAAAAAATTCCACAAGGAGAACAAGTGCCCAGCTGCAAAGGTCGCTCAGATGAGCTCTTGGCAAAATATTGCTTTTATAACTTAGGTGTCTCAGCCCTTACCTGAAGAAAATATACACTGAAACTCAAAATGCATATGAGAGTATATATATATATATATATATATATATATATATATATATATATATATATATATGTAGTTTTTTGGCATCATTCATGTTTCCCAGTAAGCCCATGTCATGGATTGAGAAAGAAATACATGAGAATTCCCACTCAGAAAGCACTCATGAATATGAGCATTCCATGGATTTTATTTTAGAAACAAATCTGTGGTCTTCAATCTCAGAGAAACAAGAGAGGGTAGTTCACAAAGCTATTAGAATCCCTTTAACAACTGCCAGCCTTTGAAACAAAAATCCAAGTCAATTGAATCCTTTTTTCCAAAGCCCAGACTTCAAAAGTCTTGTATACTAACTTCCTTACTTGCTTCTTTCACCATGTAAAGCATCGAAAAATTGCCTAGGAATGTGGTCAGCCCCATAGCATCTTGCAGAGTAGACAAGGCTTCTCAGGAATGCCCCTCTTTACAAAAGACATATAACTTCTTTTCACAACCAGAACCTGAACAGAATTCTGCACCCCTCAGGGGACTGCAGAATTCACATCCAAGTAAGGCTAGGCTCACTTCCCAAGAAAACTGAGCCAAGGAGCCAGGTAGGAAAGAGGTTAAAGTCTTCTGTGTGTCTTCTTGAGAAGGAGGAAAAGGCTATCACACAGCTGGAAAGAGAACTGAATAAAAGGGTCAAGGCTTTCACTGAGATTCTGCTCATGAGGTGGAATCTTGTGTGAAAGCATTTTCATCAGAACTCTGCAGCAGATTGCACATCTGCTCATCTCTCCCCAGGAAGCTTAACCCCAACTCTCAGCCAATCTCTTTCTCAGCAGTCACGGAACAGTAGCCTGTTCCTCATCTGATTCACCTGCCTTGCAAGCCTCTTCCTTCTCAGATGGACTGATAGGACCCCAAATCCTCCCCATCACCGCTGTGCTTGGCCCTGATAACATAGACTTGACCAGCTTCAGGTCAGCAACGATAGAGTCGTTTAAGGCCATGTCCTCAAAGAGAAACATTGCTTTTCTTTCTGAAACTGGGAGTGTCTAAGAATGTGTCTTCTGGTGACAACTCATCTTTTCCTTAAATGAGGCAAAGGGAGAGAGCAAATACAAACATTCTGAATGCATGATGTTCTTCTGTACTTTAACATCGCCCATTTACAGAATGCTCAATATTTCAGAAAATTCTTCCTTATCCTAATTTTTGATTCTTCTTTATATTCTTCTCTAGCTTCAGGGTAGAGGAATTCCAGTAGAAGCAAAGGCTCTGGCTGGGTTGATTTTTACTGTCATTAGAGGGTCAGCTTTTGGAATATCAGTGAACAAGATATCTTTCATTCAGATAGCAAGAATGTGCTCCTCCTAATTCTTGCCCAGCTTCCTGATGGGACCAGCCTGGTCCATTGGCGCATATAAATCCTACTACTAAGAGGCGCGCAGATTCCCTTAATGTTTGGAATCACTTTGACAGTTTTCAGCATATATTAGCTTACTGAACACTTGGAGGAACATTGAATGACAGGTTTGGCAATGGTTCTGTTAAGATTTCATCCACAAAAAAATAAGAACAGGAAGATGTATTCCTATCCGTCATTTTACCATGGGTGTCTGCATGAATCAATAAGGACTAAATGAGTATTGGGATGACTTGTCAAAGGTATTTTGAGTGAGTTTATTATAAACTTTGCTTACATCTCTAACCAAGGAGCAATATTACTGACTACTAAGTAATCTTCACTTTTAGTTTTTCTCCATTCTTGAAATGGATTCTTTTTTTTTTTTTTTTTTTTGAGGCAGGATCTTCCTCTGTCACCCAGGTTAGATAGGAGAGCAGTGGCACAATCTCAGCTCACTGCAACCTCCGCCTCCTGGGCTCAGGTGATCCTCCCACCTCAGCCTCCCAAGTAGCTAGGACTACTGGCGCACACCACCATGCCTGGCTAATTTTTGCATTTCTTTTTGCAGAAAGAGGGTTCCACCATGTTGTCCAGGCTGGTCTTGAACTCTTGGGCTCCAGTGAGCCTCCTACTTTGGCCTCCCAAAGGGCTAAAATTACAGGTGTGAGCCACCATGCCCAGACTTAAAATGGATATTTTAAACTGGGTTGAAAGACACTAGTTCCCCCTTAAATCTACCCTCAAGCACTTACTAATAACTTTAAAATGTTAATTGAGTGAATAAAAGATGAATGAATGAATGTGTGAAATAAAAATGGAAAAATATTCATGGTATAATGCTAAGTAAAAATGTAGAATTTAAAATTATAGCTATGAGTTAATCATTCCACAAATGTATACATATATCAGAACATCACAATGTATGCAATAAATATATACAATGAAATAAGAAAATAAAATAAAATTACAGCTATAACATTGCTGACAATGTATAAAAGTTAAATACACATAAGGGCAACCTTAAAACATAACATGGACAAATGAAAACATTGATTTTGTTATGCAATCAGATCAAAAAATGTTTCATGTTATAATTAACATTCTTATTGCAACAAAATGATATTCTAAAAATGAATGAATCTGATCACACATAAAACTACATATGGAGGATTATGAGATAAGAAAGCTAATAATATAACAAGAGATGATCAAAAGATTTAAAGTATGCTTTCAAGATATCAACCTCAATCGACCTAACCGAAAATTGTAAATAAACTGAAATCCATCTTAACTGTCCTCTTTGGATAAGCAGACCATCCTATATTTTATTTTAATAAAAACTTTTAATAAGAAAAAGTAAAAATAAAATATTGGCAAGGTTAAAAAGAAAAAAACACACTTTCATAAAACTGTGTGATACAGACCTCAAGAGTAAGCATAAAGTTTAATTGTCAGGGCCAACAGTAACGGAAGAGGTGAAGATGCGTCTGGTGTGACTTCTGCAACAAGGGTAATAGGAGTGTCAGATTTTCTTTTTTAAAAAAACTTTTAAGTTCAGGGGTACATGTGCAGGTTTGTTACATAGGTAAACTTGTGTCATGGGGTTTTGTTGTACAGATTATTTCATCACCCAGGTATTAAGCCTAGTACCCATTAGTTATTCTTCCTGACCCTCTCCTTCCTCCTATCCTCCTCCCTCCAAAAGGCACCAGTGTGTTGTTCCCCTCTATGTGAACATGTGTTCTCATCATTCAGCTCCCACTTATAAGTGAGAACATGTGGTATTTGGTTTTCTGTTCTTGCATTAGTTTGCTAAGGATAATGGCCTCCAACTCCATACATGTCCCTGCAAAGGACATGATCTTGTTCTTTTTTATGGCTGCATAGTATTCCATGGTGTATAGGTACCACATTTTCTTTATCCAGTCTATCATTGATGGATATTTAGATTGATTCCATGCCTTTGCTATTGTGAATAGTGCTGCAATGAACTGACACATGCATGTGTCCTTATAATAGAATGATTTATCTTCCTTTGAGCATATACACAGTAATGGGATTGCTGGGTCAAATGGGATTTCTGTCTCTAGGACTTTGAGGAATTGACACACTGTCTTCCACAATGGTTAAACCAATTTACACTCCCACAACAGTATATAAGCTTTCCTTTTTCTCCACAACCTTGCCAACATGTGTTATTTTTTAACTTTTTAATAATAGCCATTCTGACCAGTGTGAAATGATATCTCATTGTGTTTTTGATTTGCATTTCTCTAATGATCAGTGATACTGAACTTTTTTTCATATGATTGTTGGCCACATATACGTCTTCTTTTGAAAAGTGATTGTTCATGTCCTTTGCCCACTTTTTAATGGGGTTGTCTTTTTTTCTTGTAAATGTGTTTGCTTCTTATAGATGCTGGATATTAGACCTTTGTCAGCTGCATAGTTTGCAGAAATTTTCTTCCATATATATATAATTATGTATATATAATTGTGACTATATATACACATAATAATTGTGATGGTACTCATCAAAACTGCAGGGTCATCAAATTGCGGACATCAAATTGGGAAAAGTATACAAGAAATCTCTATATTTTGTCTATATTTTTATATATAATATATTTATTTATTTATCTGTTTTTTGCTTTTATTGGAATTTTATTGAGATGATTGTAGATTCTCATGCAGTTGTAAGAAATAGTATAGAGATTCCTTGTATACTTTGTCCAGTTTCCCCCAATGGTAACACTGGCAAAACTGATAGCAAAACTGATATGATCTACTGATCTTATTCTGATTTCCCTAGTTGTATGTGTGTGTGTGTTTATTAAGTTCTATATCATTTTATTAATGGCTTCCAATTTTTGCCAAATTATTTGCCCTAATTTTCTCCTCAGATGTAGTTCAAATTGCAATCCACCCCACATTTAAACTGGAACATTATGCATCTGCCCCAAATTAAATATTCATTGGTTTACTATTCTTCCTTGTAATGGTCTACATCAGCTTTCTTCTTAACATTATGAAAGACAAAGTTTCTTGGACTTAAATGAGTATGAGTCATTGCTGGATTAATCTGTTCCATCTGGGTGTAGATTCCAGATTTTTCATGGTTTATTTTTTCATTCAAAAATATTTACAGTTGGTTACTGAGTCTTTTAAGTAGTATCCTAGGAGCTTAGTGTACAGTGGGAAGCAACAAACATGATTGCTGCTCTTGGGAGACTTACAGTCTCCTAGACATACAAGATTGTGCAAACATCAACAGAACTGCTGCAATCATGTAGGTGACTGTAGCCTTCTGACAGATTTGCAGAAAGGGTGGTTATGTTTTTATAGAAGTTCAATGCAATTTCTTCATTTGCCTTACCAAATAAACCTTCACTTTGCCTCCATAAGAAATAGTATAATATATTATAAAAGAACTTAAAAAAGTAATACTGAACTAATATTCAGCTTCTGACACTCAAAGGGATTATGCAGCCAAGTATAAACCAAGCAATCCAAGCTATTATCTTGAGAGAAGAGTCTCCTAATGTTTTCTTTCCCTTTAGCCTATCAATGGCCAAGCTTGAAAGACCTAGTTCACAGAGATTTTCAAACTAGAGAGAAAATCCTGTTTCTTCTACCTTTTCCAACCAGGCCAAAATTAATGCGAGGAGGTGTGGGGAAAAATCAGAAAACAAAATAAAACAAAAAGAATGGAGTTTATACCACACATCCAACTATAGCGTGAGTGAAATTTGCTATCTAGCTAATGTGCGTTAATTGAACAAAAACTATATTCACCATAGATGGTCTCCAAAATTAAAACAGAAAAATTCTAGCCTCAAGTTGACATATTCAGAATCTCAGAATATAGGCCGGGCACAGTGGCTCATGCCTGTAATCCCAGCCCTCTGGGAGGCTGAGGAGAGCGGATCACTTGAGGTCAGGAGTTTGAGATCAGCCTGGGTAATATAGTGAAAACTGTCTCTACTAAAAACACAAAAATTAGCTGGGCGTGGTGGTACATGCCTGTAGTTTCAGCTACTTGGGAGGCTGAGGCAGGAGGATTGCTTGAACCCACGAGGTAGAGGTTGTAGTGAGCCGAGATTGCACCACCGCACTCCAGCCTGGGTGACAGAGCAAGACTCCATCTAAAAAAAAAAAAGAATATATTTTGCAGCTTATTCATGTGCGTCCACCTTTCTAAGAATCCTTTTTCTACCCAGGCTCTGTTTAGATTATTTTATGGTTGAAACAGCCAAATTGTTTCACCTGTGCTTTTCTAGTCCAGAACTCTCATTCACCCTTTGGGCAAGGTTTTCCACCAAATTCTTCTTCAACTGCTTGAATTAATTCAAAGCTCTTTTTTTTCAGTAAAATTTGGCTTTGCACAGATACCCTGCTATGTCTGTTTCTCTCTGTTCTTGAAATGGATATTTTAAACTGGATTGAAAGACATTAGTTCCCCCTTAAACCTACCCTGCCGTGCACAAATAGGATAGCCCCCATCTGGGCTAGTATACAAGTCAGGATACTAAATTTGCACAACAGAATGTAGGCTTTGCCACCTGCACACCTGTTATTGAAAGCATATGGCTCTCTCTTTAATCAACAACACAAAACATAGACTCTTCAGGCACTCCTCAGAGATTTCAGGCCTGCCTCTGATCCAGCCTTTGGCAAAAGCTTACTAAAAACATCTGATATCTGAAGGAGAAACTACAAGACATGCTAACTACACATTACTTTAGCGACCTAGGTTAAAATCTTTCCCTCTGTGTATAAATATTTCAAACACAACATATCTGGACACTGTCTATGATCCCCCACAGAAGGTCTTGTACTAACACGTATTATAATGGTGGTAAATGCATATTTATTTGTAGTTTATTTTGGCATCATTTGCAATTCTGTGTCTGATGATCACATCTGAAAATCGGAGATAGAGGTGCAGAAAGCTGGAAAGAGCCTATGACCTTCACAGATGTATGGAACCACCCTACAGCCCTCAATTGCCTCTCTCTGAACTTCTTTCTTGTGAGAAATAAACTTCTAAATTATTCAAACGACTGTTATTTTGAGATTTATTCATTGTATGCAGTGAGATTTGAGCCCTGGTCAATAGTAATCTTAATAATCATTAAAATACATTACTGGATGGATGATCAGATAAAGAAAATGTGATATATACATGTGATACACACACACACACACACACACACATATATATATATACACACACACACCATGGGATACTACTCAACCATGAAAAAGAGTAAAGTCATGCCTTTTGCAGCAACATGGATGGACCTGGAGGCCATTACCCTAAGTGAAACAACTCAGAAACAAAAAATCAAATACTGTATATTCTCACTTGTAAGTGAGAACTGAAAAATAGCTACACCTGGACATACGGAGTGGAATAACAGACATTGGAAACTCAAAAAAGTTGGAAGGTGGGAGAACACTGAGTGTTGAAAAATAACCTATTGGATACAATGCTCACTATTTCAGTGATGGGTACACTAAAAGCTTAGCTTTCAACACTACACAATATATCCATGTAACAAAACCACTTGTACCCCCTAAGTCTAAAGAAATTAAAATTCAAAAAGAATATGTTATTACAGCATGTTTCTTTCTGCATTGGGCCATAAGAGGCCAAGTGGAGACACCCAGCAATAAAAGGCAAATGTAAACTAACTTTCTTTCTTTCTTTCTTTTTCCTTTCTTTCTTTCTTTTCTTTCTTTCTTTCTCTCTTTCTCTCTCTTTCTCTTTCTTTCTTTCTTTCTCTCTTTCTTCTTCCTTTCTTTCTTTCCAAATAGATATTTAACAGCTTACATGAAGAAAAGAATCCAGGCAAGGGAAATGCACCCTGTTTTGGGAATGGCAAGAGCTTTTTAAAAAATTGAAAAATAGAATATGAATACAGTAAGCGTATTTATGTGCCATTCATAACTGTAGAGTGTAATGACCAATTTTAAAGGGAACACTAATCAAACTATCAACCAGGTCAAGAAAAAGAACATTGTCAGCTGGGGGCGGTGGCTCACGCCTGTAATCCCAGCACTTTGGGAGGCCGAGGCAGGCGGATCACAAGGTCAGGAGATCAAGAACATCCTGGTTAACACGGTGAAACCCCGTCTCTACTGAAAATACAAAAAATTAGCCAGGCGTGGTGGCAGACCCCTGTAGTCCCAGCTACTCGGGAGGCTGAGACAGGAGAATGGCGTGAACCCGGGAGATGGAGCTTGTGGTGAGCCGAGATTGTGCCACTGCACTCCAGCCTGGGTGACAGAGCAAGACTCCATCTCAAAAAAAAAAAAAAAAAAGAAAAGAAAAAGAAAAAGAACATTGTCATAACCCAGAAGGCCACCACATGCCTCTTTGTGGTCATATTCCCTCTCTCACCCCAGAAGTAGCAATTATCCTAATTTTAAGGCATCAGTTGCTGGCTTTTCTTTGCAATTTTATCCTCTGTCTGTGCATCTCTAAATAATATGATTTACTTTTGTTTATTTTAGAACTTTTAAAATGGAATAATAGTATCTAATTCCTTTGTGTTTTATTTCTGTCATTCAACATTGTGATTTTAAGGTTGACACATAATCCTCTGTGTAGCCTCAATTTGTTCCTTTTCATTTGTATATAGGATTTTGTTTGCTTGTTTGTTTGTTTGTTTGTGGCAGAGTCTCACTGTGTCTCCAATGCCGGAGTGCAGTGGTGCGATCTCAGCTCACCGCAACCTCCGCCTCCCAGGTTCAAGCAATTCTCCCGCCTCAGCCTCCTGAGTAGCTGGAACTACAGGCGCCCACCATCACGCCACACTAATTTTTTTGTATTTTTAGTAGAGACAAGTTTTCGCCATGTTGGCCAGGCTGGTCTCAAACTCCTGACCTCAGGTGATCCACCTGCCTCGGCCTCCTACCCTCTCCCCCAGATTAACTTTCTGAGTATCTGCGACATAAGTTGAAATATAGATGGCCAGCTTTAGCTCTAACTCACCCGAAAGTGTAAGCACTGAAATGAGACAAACTAAATATTGTTGAATCCTAATTCCTCATTTCAGGGACAGAGTATCTGATTGTCTTAGCTTGGGCTAGTGTCTAAACTTGTCGTATTCAACTGTGACCAGGAGTAGAAGGAGCAAGACAGGGTGCCCATTACCACTCAGTGGAGTCTACATCATCAGACTTTATCAGAAAGAGGAGAGAGGAGTGGATAGTTCTCTGAGGAAGTGTGGTGATGGTAAGAAAACAACTAGTATTTCCAATACAGATCTTCTACATCTTAGGAGGAGGAACATCTGGGCTTCCTACTCAAATGAGAGAGAACAACACTAACATCAAAACTTGTCCACACCAAAGGGATGAAGTCTGAAGATACCTTATATTCTTTGTTTCAGATTTAATTCCTGCCTCTTGTCTCATGCTAAGTCACAAAAGAATTCTATTTGGGATTATATTCCCGGTACCCATATTTCCTGGGGCTGAGTCAGCTAGCTACTCAAAGAAGCATTTGTGTTCTTCTTCTGTTTTCATTTTATTTATTTATTTTTTTGAGACGGAATTTCACTCTTGTTGCCCAAGCTGGAATGTAATGGTGTGATCTCGGCTCACTGCAACTTCTGCCTCCTGCATTGCGTGTTTGTGGTGATGCTGGTGTAAAAAACCTACTGTGTTGCCCACTGTATAAAAGTATAACACATGATTATCAAGTATGTAATACTTGATAATAACAATCACTAGTTTATGTATTTACTATATTTTTAATAATTATTTTAGACTGTAATCCTCCTACTTATATTTTTTAAAAAGTTGGGTAAAATAGCCTCAGGCAGGTCCTTCAGGAGGGATTCCAGAAGAAGGCATTGTTATCATAGGAGATGACAGCTCCATGCCTGTTTGTGCCCCTGAAGACCTTCCAGTGCAACAAGATGTGAAGGTGGAAGACAGTGATATTGATGATCCTGAACCTGTGTAAGCCCAGGGTAATACGTGTGTTTGTGTCTTAGTTTTTAACAAAAGTTTAAAAAGTAAAAAACAGATTAAAAATCTTTTTTATCTTTTTTATTTTTTTAAATTATACTTTACGTTCTGGGATAAACGTGCGGAACATGCAGGTTTGTTACATAGGAATACATGTGCCATGGTGGTTTCCTACACCCATCAACCTGTCATCTACATTAGGTATTTCTCCTAATGCTATCCCTCCCCTTGCCCCCACCCCCCAACAGGCCCGGTGTGTGATGTTCCCCTCCCTGTGGCCATATGTTCTCATTGTGCAACTCCCACTTATAAGTGAGAACATGCGGTGTTTGGTTTTCTGTTCCTGTGTTAGTTTGCTGAGAATGATGGTTTCCAGCTTCATCCATGTCCCTGCAAAGGACATGAACTCATTCTTTTTAATGGCTGCATAGTATTCCATGATGTATATGTGCCACATTTTCTTTATCCAAAGTCTAACATTGATGGGCATTTGAGTTGGTTCCAAGTCTTTGCTATTGTGAATAGTGCTGCAATAAACATACCCCATCAAAAAGTGGGTGAAGGATATGAACAGACACTTTTCAAAAGAAGATATTTATGCAGCCAACAAACACACGGAAAAAAGCTCATTATCACCGGTCATCAGAGAAATGCAAATCAAAACCACAAAGAGATACCATCTCATGCCAGTTAGAATGGCGATCATTAAAAAGTCAGGAAACAACAGATGCTGGAGAGGATGTGGAGAAACAGGAACACTTTTACACTGTTGGTGGGAGTGTCAATTAGTTCAACCATTGTGGAAGACAGTGTGGTGATTCCTCAAGGATCTAGAACTAGAAATACCATTTGACCCAGCAATCCCATTACTGGGTGTATACCCAAAGGATTATAAATCATTCTACTACAAAGACACATGCACACGTATGTTTAAAAATTTTTTAATAGAAAAAAACTTATAGAATAAGGACATAAAGAAAACATTTTTGTACAGCTATATAACATGTGTGTTTTAAGCTAAGTGTTATTACAAGAGAGTCAAAAAGTTAAAAACATTAAAAAGTGTATAACGTAAAAATGTTATAGTAAGCTATGGCTAATTTATTACTGAAAAAAGAAAA
Source organism: Homo sapiens (assembly GCF_000001405.40). Classification (NCBI taxonomy): domain Eukaryota; kingdom Metazoa; phylum Chordata; class Mammalia; order Primates; family Hominidae; genus Homo; species Homo sapiens. Next base: position 16,924,071 of record NC_000006.12, on the reverse strand, counting down.
TTTTTTCTAAATTTAGTGTAGCCAAAGTGTACAGCATTTATAAAGTCTACTGTAGTGTACAGTGACATCCCAGGCCTTCCCATTCACTCACCACTCACTCACTGACTCACCCAGAGCAACTTCCAGTCTTGCAAGCTCCATTCATAGTAAGTGCCCTTTACAGGTGTACCATTGTTTAATCTTTTATACTGTATTTTAGTGTACTGTTTCTCTGTTTAGGTATGTTTAGATACTCAAATACTTACTATTGTGTTCCAATTGCCTACAGTATTCAGTTCAGTAATATGCTGTCTAAGTTTGTAGCATGAGAGTGATGGGCTCTACCATCTAGCTTATGTATGTAGTAGGCTCTACCATCTAGGTCTGTGTACCATCTAGGTCTATGATGTTTGCACAATGACAAAATCATCTAACAACACATTTCTCGGAGTGCATCCCTGTCGTTAAGTGATGCGTGACTGTCAAACCAAATCTTTACATATCAGTTTCATTCTCCAGCACCTCCAGATTGGGGAATTCTGTTATAGTAAATGAACTATCCAAATTATTTATTTTCTAGGCAACATCAAACCTTCACTCAAATGAGGGAGATGGGGCCTTGTTGAACAAACCTAGAGATGCGGGTGGGAGTGTCTGGAGGCCAGCAGTTTTGGAAGTGGGCCTTAATGTGCCTCTGAGCTCAGGGTGTCTGAATTCCTGTACCCTCCTAACTGGCATCATGAATTTTCATTGATGTTCATGAGCAACTGTATGAGTCTCCCAGCAGAAAACAGATGGTAAATTCAACTGTGATTTTGAGAAACTTTTTTGAAGGACTATTTACAATGATGAGAATGCAGCCAGAGAACAAACAAGGAATGCTGAGGCACCCAGAGGCTGAAAGCAGTGGGAAGCTATATCTATCTATCTGTCTGTCTATCTATCTATCTGTCTGTCTGTCAGTCTGTCTGTGTATCTATCTACCTACCTACCTCTTCATCTATAGAATGAGATTTATCATAAGGAATTGGTTAACATGAGTATGGAGATTGAGAAATCCCAAAATCTGTAGTTAGCAAGCTGGAGACCCAGGAGAATGAAGATGTAAGTTCCAGTTCAAGTCTGAGTCCAGAGGCAGAAGATTGGTGTCCCAGTGCAAGCACCCAGATGGGAGGAATTCCTTCTTACTCAATCTTTTTGTCTATTGTGACATCAATTGACTGGATGAAGCCCACCCACATTGAGGAGGGCAATCTGCTTTACTTAGTCTACCAATTCAAATGTTAATCTCATCCAGAAACATCTTCACAGACACATCCAGAAAAATGTTTGACCAATTATCTAGGCACTAGGTGGCCCAGTTGAGTTGACACATAGCATTAACCATCACGAGGGGCAAGGGATGAATGATGCTACCATAGCCTCCAGTGAGCTGAGCGGTGGGTCTCCAGACGGGACCTATAGCTGAGAGATATGCAGCTGCTCTCAGAACAGCTCCAAGGCAGGGAGGAAGAGGGGTGAAAACTCCATTCTTTCTCTCTACACTCCCCTCTCCCATCTCCTGCCACTGCCTCCCATTGGCCCAACCCAACCAGAAGCCCATGGATCATGGAACGTGAGCGGTGTAAGAGTGCAGCCAGCAGAGGTCAATGTCCTGGTGCTCAGAGCTGGCAGATAGAAGAGGAGAATATACTCAAGAAACGACAAATGAAAATAAACCACCACAGCAACCCCCAGAACTTTTCTAGAAATACTTAGCAAAGTGAACTCTGAAAAAAAAACCTGTTACTCATAGCCAGGGATGGCCTAGAGTCATTTTAGTCTCAACATTAAACAATATTAAGCATTAAGCAAAAGGGGATTTGTACCCCATATATAATATTTGGAGCATACCAATTGCATGTGAATAAATTTATTAATTAGAGATCTGTAATTCTGAGACTGTGCTTGTGTGTATATCTCTTATCTCCTCTTTGAGGATGTAAGCTATTGTAGGGCAAAGATGGTCTCAGAATTCTACAGTGCATTGAACATGGTAGATATTCCGTAAATATTTGCCGAAAAACTATTTCCACCTCTTTTCCTTAAACCTAATAGGAACTGATGAAATGCAATATAAAAAACAACAAAGGTTTTGTAAGTGTCATATGTAATCAGCCAAGGAGAGTTTTAGCACAGCAGGTAGTAAGAGTGGAACTAAATTGCTTAGTCTGACTTCTTAGAGCTAACTCATTTAACAAATGTTTATGGAGCACCTGTGCTGTGCCAAACACTGTGTTAAGCTTTTAAGATACAAAAATAATGTTTTGAAGGAAGAAATCCATTAAACATACAAACCACTCATGAACCACTCAATTTTTATGGCGTGCAACCAGCTAATTGCCACATAGCTGTTTGGATCAGTTTTACAGAGGTCTGATTCAGTTAAATCAATGAAATGAGTTGCCTAATCCACTTATTTTAGACATGCAGAAGCATGCTTCATTTTGCTGTCCACAGCCCTAGTGCAGGTTTATCCCTTGACAAAACTTGGGTTAGCTATGACGCGGACGCAATGTTATAGATTGTGACCACAAAAACTCAACAAAGCTATGTGCTGTACCACTTTCTCAAAGCTACTCCCAAGACTGGGGCCCAGTGATGAGAGGTCCTTGAAATGGAAGGATTCCAGTTAAGAACAGTAGTCACAGAACAGTTAAGCTTTCTTTAGCAATGTCAAATGCCAGCATATCCCGCAGAGGAGCATCTTTCATATCTGCAGACAAAACATTGTCCCCATCCACCCAACAATTTCAGTTAGCATTTCCTTCTAGACCCTGAGGCACAAAAAGCCACTATTTACTTGAGTGGGTTTTCTCACAGCAAAACAGCTTTGTCTTTCAACTTCCTTTTCTAGAACCAACCCTGTCTTGCTTCCATAATACTGAGAAAAGTGGATCAGAGTCTCCCGCTGTTTGTGTCAAATAGCAATTCTTTTATGTTGCTCTATTATAAATGCTGCTCAGACATTTTGAGTCAAAACTGTGAAATATCCCTTCTTGCGTCCCCATTATCCATTCTATTACGAGATTTAAGACTTGTGAATAATCCCATATGTGACCTTGGTTAGATGACTCTTTTTTTAACCAGGACAAAAACCAATTGAGTGATTTCTTCATGTAGAGTGTGCCAGTAGTTGAATATCCTACACTTGTTTAAGAGCACTATTATTTGATCTCAAAATATTCTGTAATGGGATGGGATGTATTTTCTCCAGAATTTAACCTTATGCTAATTATGTCTAGCATGGGCTCTGAGACATACATTAGAATTACTGAACTATAATGTCAATCAAAGTTTTATCTTCAGTAGTGTCAATCTGAATAGAAAATTCATCTGCTTTCTTAATATAATCACTAGTAATTTGGTGTGTGTGTGTGTGTGTGTGTGTGTGTGTGTGTGTGTGTGTGTGTGTGTGTTTTGACAGGGTCTCGATTTGTTGCCCAGGCTGGAGTGCAGTGGCATGATCATGGCTCACTATAGCCTCCACCTCCTGGGCTCAAGCGATCTTCCCACCTCAGCCTTCTGAATAGCTAGGACCACAGGCATGTATCACCACACCAGTCTAATTTTTTATTTTTATTTTTTGTAGAAAATGGGGTCTCCCTATGTTGCCAAGGCTGCCCTCAAACTCCCGGGCTCAAGGGATCCTCCTGCCTCCTGCTCCCAAAGTGCTGGGATTACAGGCGTGAACCACTGTGCCCACTAGTAATATTTTTTTTTAATTAACTTGCTAATATTCTCACTAGTTGCACTTCTGGTTGAGAAATGAGAATAATAGTTACAACAGTTCTTCCTTCTTTACTTTCAGATTTGTTAACTCAAATTACCATAGCTTTTATTTTATAGGTATTTGCTTATAAATTTGCAGATTATAAGTTTTTTGAATTGAGGGACTTTTTATACTTGTTTTTCTCCCCACAACCAGCCTTAAATATAGTAACTTCAATATAATAAATACTCCACAAATGTTTGTGGGCATTGAATCAATAAGATTTTTTTGAAAATAATAACATGCAAGGTAAATTTGAGGAAATCTCTCAGAAAGTACAATAAAAGCACAAAAATATGAAAAACATGAAAGAAAAGAAAATTAGGGGGCCTAAATGGATTAATAAAATTCTAGTAAAATAGAAAAATAGAAAAATTAAAGGGGTGATATTATCACATAAGTTATACAAGAAAAATGTCGAAAACTGAAGATCATTCATTTGCAGATTGAAAGGTTCCATTGATGGCTAAAATGAATGAAGAAAAAACTAACATTAAATAAAATATAATTGTAAAATTTCAGAACCTAAAATAAGAAATAAACCATAAAGGCTGCTGGAGAAAAGAGAAGATCAAACACCAATAATCAGTAATCATATGGAGCTGTTTTTTTGAATAGCGAAATTGGAAGCTATAAAACAACACAATGATACCTTGAAAATTATCAGGAAAAATTAGTCCAACCTAGAATTCTACATAATAAAGGTATTATTAATCAAGTATCAAAAGAAAAGACATTAGAAAACACACAAGTTCTCAAAAATCAACTTTTCACATATTCTTTCTCATGAAGCTATAGGAGGATGCATTCCATTTAAGCAAGAGAATAAAGCAATAAAGAGAAGGAGAATAAATCCAGGCAACAGGATCAGAGATTTTCCAGTGTTATGATGAAGAGAAGGCTCAGGATGAAAGCTACATTCAGATTCGGATTAAATCAGGAGGTTATGGATTCTAGGAGAGATACTGATGAGAAAAATACAGAGTAGATTCAGTTCCCTGTGTTTTGCTCATGAGAAAGTGATTTATTTTACATCTTTACAGAAGTGCTTAGGGGAAGAAAACATGGTATATAAAAAAAGTGCATGAAAACAACAGGACAACTGTAAATTCTAGAAAAAACAAAAAGTCGTTCAAAAAGAGTAAATATACTTATATCACCTTTTGTGCCTTAGCTTGAACAATTTTAACATAATTATAATCATAATTATAATAATATTGGGAAGTTGAAGAAATTGGAAGTATTATGTGTATGTGTATATAAGGGACAGGGTGTAAGAGGGTTAAATTTTTATCTCCATAAAAGAAAAAAATAATTAGTAGTTAAATTTTAAATTATGAATAGTAATATCAACTGATATGGTTTGGCTGTGTCCCCAGCCAAATCTCATCTTGAACTGTAACTCCCACGATTCCCGCGTGTCATGGGAGGAACCCGGTGGGAGGTAATTGAATCATGGAAGCAAATCCTTCCTGTGCTGTTCTCTTGATAGCAAGTCTCACGAGATCTGATGGTTTTAAAAAACGGGAGTTTCGCTGCAGAAGTTCTCTCTTTGCCTGCTGTAAGACTTCACTTGCTCCTCCTTGCCTTGTGTCATGATTGTGAGGCTTCCCCAGCCACGTGGAACTATAAGTCCATCAAACCTCTTTCTTTTGTAAAATACCCAGTCTCGGGTATGTCTTTATCAGCAGCGTGAAAACAGACAAACACATAAACCACTTATTTTTAAATGTTATTGTAAATATAAAAAAGAATGTTAAAAGGATTGAATGTGATTATCTCCTCAGGTGACTAGAACTCAGAGGTGGAGAGCAGTGGAGCTGAGGATAAAATAAAAATTAAATTAAAAATTATATAATGATTCCCCCAAATTCATGTAACTATATTTATATAATACTTATTTTGCTTGAATGAGTCATAAAATTACATCTCTTAATAAGAGAAATATTTGAAACTACCTTAATTTTATTAACCAATCTACCCCCAAATTTATTATTTTTCTTATTTTCAAAAATGATTAAGAAAGTTTAAATGTTAAAAATACATAAAACATTACTTAAACATGCATAAGGCAATTAAAAGCCATTCTGAAATACAAAGTGGCTAAGTAAGACACAGAAGCTAAGTCAGTGCTATGACTGAGCATTAAATTGTGCCCCTAGCTACCTACAGAGAGTGAGAATTATTTACTTTTTAACCTGAGGGGAGAAAAACACACAAATTAGAATGGAAAGAAATTTTTCCTGGCATTAAAGTTTTGGAAGTATTTGAGATATAGATGATTATAGAAGGAACATTTGTCTTGCATCTTTCACAGGAACTCAGGAACTAAAACCAGTCCTTCATTAGTTTTTCTTAAATATTTCCTTGTCATTGCATCCACATTGTCACTACTTTTGTTCAAGGTCTTATAATCTTTCACTTAGACTAATTTGATTGTCTCCTAATGGAATGTTAGTTATTCATTCAGAAAAGATTTAAACACCTAAAAACAGAATGAGAAAATTTCAGACCAAATACAGAAGGCAAAACCCCAGAAATATAGAAAATAAGTGTAATACTCAAAGATACTTTAGCTTTGAAGGCAGTTGCTGAGCTGGAAGAAATGGCCATGAACTTTATTTTGTGAAAGTTTCACCCACACATATAAATATATAATTAATACACACAGCAACAATAGCGTATATGTTGGGGATAAACAAATGAAACTGAAGTGTTCTAAGATTCTTGTACTTTTTAGAAAGAAGTGAAATCTACTAATTTAACATTTGATTTTGGAATATTGTGGTCCTTACTGTAATTTCTAGGGAAATATTAAAATAACAGAAAGTGATAGTTGGGAGGAAAATGAAATAATGCAGAAAATAAAATTAATCAAGTAAATAAGAAAAAAGAAAATAAAACAGGTGACACAAGTAGAAAGAACATAATAAAATGGTGAATTAAACTCAAACCAAAGTACATGAGTAATTACATTAAATGTAAATGGGGTCGGACACGGTGGCTCATGCCTGTAATCCTAACACTTTGGAAGGCCGAGGCAGGCAGATCACTCGAGGCCAGGAGGTCAAAACTAGCCTGAACAACATGGTGAAAATTTGTCTCTACTAAAAATACACAAAAATTAGCTGAGCACTGTGGCGGACACCTGTAATCCCAGCTACTTGGGAGGCTAAGGCAGGAGAATCGCTTGAACCTGGGAAGTGGAGGTTGCAGTGAGCCGAACTCTCACCACTGCCCTCCAGCCAGGGTGACAGAGAAAGACTCTGTCTCAAAAAAAAAAAAAAAAAAAAAAAAAAAAAGTAAATGGACTAAATGCTTCAATTAAGAGATTAAGAAATTGTCAGACAGGAAAAAAGTCAAAGTCAAGGATATAATCATTATAAGAGAAATATAAAACATAAAGATATAAAAAAGTAGTATGTTAAAGTATGGAAGAGGCATTAAGCAAGCAAAGGTGACCACTGTTACCAAGGCTATTCAGTGTTGTACTGGAGGTCCTGCCAATCAGTAAGGAAAAGCAAATGCTATAAGGATAGGAATGGGATAAGCAAATTATTATTTTTCACAGATGATATAATTAATTTTATATTAATGTGTATGAATATTCAAAAGAATCTTTAGATGAATTATTGGAATCAATAAGTGAGCTTAGAAATACTGGAGGATATAAAATCAAAATTGAAAAAGCAACTGTATTTCTCTATAAAAGCAACAAACAGGTAATAAAATTAATGAATATATAACGTTTATATCATCATCAGGGATATCTGTTACTTAGGAATATATTTAACAAAACAACTCTGCAGAGAAAATTTTAAAACATTTTAAAAATAAGAGTTAAATTGAAATATTTACAATGATGTACATGGGTAAGAAAACTATATATTATAAAAATGTCATTTTTCTTCATATTGATCTATAAAGCTATACAATTCCAATTAAACTCTAAAGACCACTTGCTCCCCATGTGTTTTTCTGTGTGATATTGGACAAAAAAGTAAAATAACTTTTATGGGAACATAACAAAGGCCAAGAATAACAAAACTCTCCTGGAGAAGAAAAAGATGAGAGTCTTTCTTTTCTCTACAAAATATCTAAACTTAAGAAGCTGTGTTAATTAAATGGTATCGATGCAAGACTAGTGGAACAAAAAAGAGAGCCGGGAGACAGATTGCACACATATAGACACTTGGCTGATGTCAGAAATGACACTGGAGAATAGTGAGAAAGGAGAGTCTTGACTCCCTTTACAAATATTGCCCTTTACAAATAATGCTAATTGCACAGAATTGGACCCATATCTCACATTCTTACACAAAAATCAACACAAAAAGAATTATAGATCTAAAAATAAGCAAAAGTATAATCTTCTTTTTTTTTTTTTTTGACACAGAGTCTTGCTCTATTGCCCAGGCTGGAGTGCAGTGGTGTGATCTCGGCTCACCGCAGCATCTGCCTCTCAGGTTCAAGCGATTCTCCTGTCTCAGCCTCCGGAGTAGCTATAACTACAGGCATGCGCCACCAGGCCCCGCTAATTTTTTGTATTTTAGTAGAGATGGGGTTTCACCATATTGGTCAGGCTGATCTCAAACTCCTGACCTCAAATGATCCACCCACCTAGGCCTCCCAAAGTGCTGGGATTACAGGCGTGAGCCACCGCACCTGGCCAAAAGTATAATCTTTTAAGATGGCAGTATAGATTGGAAAATATACACAGGATAGGCTAGGATAATATTTTAGAATATATAGAAAAAAATGTTGCCCAGGCATGGTGGCATGTCAGTGTAGTACCAGCCACTCAGGAGGCTGAGGCAGGAGGGTCACTTGAGTCCCAGAGTTTGAGACCAGCCTAGGCAACACAGCAATACCTTGACTCTTTTTTATAAAAATTGAATAGAATAAAATAAAAAGAAAAATATTTTAAACCAGATACATGAAGTAGAATAAAGGAAAAAACTGATAAACTTATCCATATTTAAATGAAGAACTGTTCATTAAAAAACTCTATAAAGAAAGGGAACAGAGGCCAGACGCAGTGGCTCACGCCTGTAATCCCAGCACTTTGGGAGGCCGAGGTGGGTGGATCACGAGGTCAGGAGATGGAGACCATCCTGGCTAACATGCTGAAACTCTGTCTCTACTAAAATGGAAAAATTTTGCTGGGTGTGGTGGTGGGCGCCTGTAGTTCCAGCTACTCCGGAGGCTGAGGCAGGAGAATGGCATGAACCTGGGAGGCAGAAGTTGCAGTGAGCCGAGATTGTGCCACTGTGCTCTAGCCTGGGCGACAGAGTGAGACTCTGTCTCAAAAAAAAAAAAAAAGGAAGAAAGGGAAGAGAAAAGCCAGAGAATAAGAGGTATTTGCAATACTGGATAAATAACTTGTTTCTAGGATATTTCATCAAATCAGTAAGAAAGACACAAACTCCAGTTGAAAGAGAGACATTGAAAAGGTACACTACAAAGCCCCAAAAGAAAGAGAGCTCTTGAAAAGGCACTCTACAAAAGAGGAAACATACATGCTGAAAAACAATGAAAAGGTGCTCAACCTCATTAGAAAATAATGGAATGCAAATTCAGCCCACAGGCTTCTACACATCCACCGGATTGGCAAAACTTAACAAGTCTGACAAGACTAAGTACTAGTGATGTTATGGAGTTACTAGTACAGTAAATCTCCTGAAATATTGATGGGAAATAGTTTGCCAGTATCCAGTAAACCACTTTGGTAGAACCACTTTGGAAAGCAGTTTGGCAGTATCTAGTAAAATTAAAGATACTTTCTGTGGCCAAGCAAGTCACTTCTAGATTTAACACCCTTGAAAAATTCGTGAAACCTGTGCTTTAGGATATATGTGCAATACCATTCATAACCCCAGGGTTCGCAGTGTCCCAAACTGAAAGCAACTCATCTGTCTATCAAAAGTAGAACGGAAGAACTACAGTGTATTTGTACAATAAAATCCTATATACAGGCTGGGCACAGCCTATAATCCAAGCACTTTGGGAGGGGTGGGGACTAAGGGGCCATAAAGAAACTGAGAGACACTCCTGACATTACAGCTCCTAGTTCTGTTTCTCAGGGGGAGTCACAGTTTCATGAAGTACCTTTGTGTCTTTCCAAAAAAGACAAAGTGTCTTTTTTTGTGTTGGCACGAGTTGGCTGAGTTAGTTGTTTGTAGCCAACTAAAATTAATTAACTAAAATTAATTTCTATTTGGTTGCAGAGGACTACCTCCTTGAGGACAATGATGACGATAATGGAGTCTAACTGTAAAGTCAAGCCCACTCACTGCATTTATTACTAAGTAACTGAAATAATACCCTTCTTTATATTTAAATGAATTTCTTATCTATATACTGTATTTGTGTCTCACTTTCTCATCTAGTCTGACAATCTCTGCCTTTTAATTGGAATGTTTAGGTCATTTAAGTTTAATGTAATTTTTTATTTTATTGGGTTTAAAGCTACATTTTGCTGCTTATTTTCTCTTTGTCTCATATATTTTGGTTACTTTTTTCTTTTTCCTGCCTTCTTTTGATGTGAGTATTTTTCAGGATTCCACTCAATCTCCACTATTGCTATTCTCCTTTATTTTTTAGTGCTTACTCCAAGATTTATAAGATAACATTTTTAACTTACCATAGTCTATCTTCAAATAATATACCACTTTAAGTATAATTTAAGAGCCTCGCACTAGTACTCACAATGGTACACTTTCATTTCTACCCTCCTGTCCTTTATACTACAGTTATCATGCATTTGATTTCCATATGTTATGCCCCAATATGTATTTTTTATTAATTTTGCTTTAAGCAATTATCTTTTAGAGAGACTTTAAAATAATAAAACATTGACTTTTGTACTTACCCACATATTTTTCATTTCCGGCACTTTTCATTCCTTTGTTTTTGTATATGGATCCAAATTTACATCTAATATTATTTTTCTTCTGCCTAAATAACTTTCTTTAAAATTCTATAGTGTAGCTTTTTTGGCAATGAGGTCTCTTAGCTGTTGTTTTTGTGAAAAAGCCTTTATTTTGTCTTCATTTTTGAAAGATATTTTGCACAGTGCAGAATTCTAGGCCAACAGATTTTTCTTTCCATACTTTCAAGATATTGCCTCACTATCATTTACCTTGCATTATTTTCAACAAGAAGGCTGATGTCATCCTTATCTTGCTGCTTCTGCACATAATGTGTTTTTATTCCTCTTGTTGCCTTTATTATTTTCTTTTCATAACTGGTTTTAAACAATTTGTTTATAATGTGCCCTGGTGTGGTCTTATATTTCTTGTTGGGTTCACTGAGCTTCTAGGATCTATGAGTTTATGTCTGTCATCAAGTTTTAAAAGATTTACCCAACATTCCTTAAATATTCTGCTTTTCCTTCTTTCTTCTCCTCTGGGACTCCAATTACATGTATGTCAAAATTCTTGATATTTTCCTACAGGTTACTAGTACTCTGTGCTATGGTTTGAATGTGTTCCTGAAAAGCTTATGTGTTGAAAACTTAATTGTCAATGTAACACTATTACAAAGTGGAGCCTTTAAGAGGTGATTGAGTCATGAGAGCAAACCCGTTCCTTATGAATGGATCAGTGTGGTTACTGAAAGGGTGGCTTGGCCAGCGCGGTGGCTCACACCTATAATCCCAGCACTTTAGGAGGCTGAGGTGGGTGGATCCCTTGAGGTTGGGAGTTCAAGACCAGCCTGGCCAACATGGTGAAAACCCATCACTACTAAAAATACAAAAAATTAGCTGGGCATCATGGCAGGTGCCTGTAATCCCACCTACTCAGGAGGCTGGGGCAGGAGAATTGCTTGAACCCGGGAGGCGGAGGTTGCAATGAGCCAAGATCAGGCCACCGTACTCCAGTCTGGGCAACAGAGTGAGACTCCGTCTCAAAACAAAAAAGGGTGAGTTAGTTCTAAGAGAACAGGTTTTTGTAAAAGCAAGCTCAGATTGCTCTAGTGAGCTCTTGTGCATGTGCTTGCTTGCCCTTCTGCTCTTCCATCATGTTATGTCATAGTGCGAAGCCCTCACCAGAAGCTGCCTACATGCCCTTGAATTTCTCAGCCTCCAGAACTGTGAGCCAACTAAACTTCTTTTTGTTATAAATTACCCAGTCACAGGTATTCTATTATAGCAACAAAAATGAGCCAAGACACTCTATTTTTTTCAGGCTTTAAAAATAATTTGTTTTATTTTGAGGCATTTATATTGCTACGTTTTCCAGTTCATTGCAATGTCCAATCTGCTGTTGATCCTGTTTGCTGTAGTTTTCATTTCAGGTATAGTGTTTTCCATGTTTAGAGGTTCAATTTAGTTTTTTATTTTTTAAATCTTTCATTTCTTTTCTCATTATGTTGATATCCTTGACCATAGTTTGTTGTTGTTGTTGTTGTTGTTGTTTGTTTTGGGGTTTTCTCTTTGAGACAGAGTCTCACTTTGTCACCCAGGCTGGATTGTAGTGGCACAATCATGGCTCACTGTAGCCTCAACTTCCTGGGCTCAAGCAGTCCTCTCACCTCAGCTTCCTGAGTAGCCGGGACTACAGGCACATGCCACCACGCCCAGCTAATTGTTGTATTTTTTGTAGAGACAGGGTTTTGTCACATTGCTCAGGCTGGTCTTGAACTCCTTGGCTCAAGCGATCCACCCACCTCGGCCTCCCAAAGTGCTGAGATTACAGGCATGAGCCACTGCGCCTGGCTACCATTGACCATATTTATAATAGCTGCTTTAAGGTCTTTGTCTGCTAGTTTCAGCATCTCTGTTATTTCTGAAATGTTTTCTTTCTATTGATTGTTTCTTTTGTTACAAGTTCTATATTTTCCTGCCACTTTTCATACCTGTTAATATTTTTATTGAATACTAGACATTGTGAACTTCACATTATCGGATGCTGGATTATACTGTATTCATTTAGCATGGGACTTTGTTCTGGAATGCAGTTATGTAACTTCAAATCAGTTTGATCCTATCAAAGCTTTGCTTTTAACCTTTGCTAGGACAAGGCCAGAAAAACAGTTTGTCTATGACTAATTTAGCCCCACTACTAGGGAGAGCCCTTTCTGAATTTTATACCCAATACCCATTTATTACAAACTCTCTCCTCTTTGACTGGTGGCGATGTGATCTATTTCCAGTCTCACGTGAGCTTGGGAATTTTTTCAGCCTCCATTCTGGAAGTTCTTTTCCAAAATTTTTTTTCTGCCAAAAAATCAAGGGTATCTTTCTGCACACCTATCTCTCTTTCTCTCCTCTCTTTCTCTTTCTCTCTCTCCTTCTCCATCAGTATTTGTACCATTTATTTTGGCTGCCTTATGCTTCCTGAATGTCAGTCTCTGTCTTTCTTAACTCAACACGACTGCTGGCTTATGTTTGGGTTTCCCCTCCCTGTGCTATGGCCAGGAAACTGCCTCCAGGTGAGAAACTGCAGGAATCATAGGACATGCTCATTTATTTTTCTGCTCTAGAGATCACAGTCCTGCACCCTCTGTTGTCTAATGTCTGAAAACAGTTGCTTAATTCTAGAGCAGTTATTCCTTCATAAGCAGAAGCAGAAGTTCTACTATATTTTGTGTTGTGCTGTTTATTTAGTTTTTTTATTGTGGTGATGGTTTTTCTTTTGCATGATATATCTCATTACATTCAGATGTGTAATAAAATTGGTCTGTAATTGCTCTGATCTCACAGTGCTGAAGAGCTGTGGAAGAGAGGGAGGATCAGGGAATAAATTTTATCCCAATTTGGATGAATCATTCCAATGCATCAGTTTAAATTGTCTCTGTAAGTAGCACAATTTCTGCTTAGATGAGAAAATAACATCAAGTATTTCAAAGTTCTGCCATCCTCCTAGGGTGACCAATTTATACTGGTTTTCCTAAAAGTTTTCCAGTTTTCACATTACAAGTCCTGCACACCGGAAAACCACTAAGTCCCAGACAAACTTGGACAGTTAGTCACTAAGTTCCTCCAACTTGTCTCCAAGATGATATCTGATTTGGGGGGCAATGGTGTGTGTGTCTTCCTCATCCCTGTGGTTGCAGAGGAATGATTAAGTATGAACCAAGTGACCTATGTATTCTTACTGGCCACCAGCCAGAACTAGTGAACAGAGACTCAATAGTCCCATTCCTGGCTATTTTCCTAGAGCTGAAGCAATGTGGTCTATGGAGCAATGGCTATCTCTTCTTGATGACCAGGCTTTATCTCAGTGGTCATTGGCCCAGGGAAACCCTGTGTTCTGGCTAAGACTCACTCATTCTTCCTCCAGATTGACCCATCTTCCCCACAACCTTCACGTATAGGGCCACTGCACAAAAACCCATACAGGCAAGCTCTTCAGACAACACTCTTAGCTACCTTTGACATCTCTCTGCAAGGCACACTAGAAATTCTTTATTCTGTCCACAACTTGAGCAACCCTGTGGGACTAAACCAAGATCCTTTATCTGCCTAACCATATGACGTCACTGAATTTAGTTTCATGTGTCACCTTCAGCTTGTGGGAACAGTGAATGGTCACCTTTTGCCATCGTGAAAGGGAAGTGGGTCAAGGTGATCTGCAATCAGCATTTTCCTTAACCTGCCTAACATCCCTTCTCAAACTGAAAGCTGAGCCTGGGGATCAGGAAATATATCTGACTGCCCATTTCTCCTACTCTGGCTCCCTTATTTTCTCACTATTCTGGGGGAGCTGAAAGAGACGGGATTTGGGTTTTTCACCTCTTCTTTGTCATGTGCTTCTTCTATAGGCCCAAAGCATAAAGAAAACTGATCCACCAGGTCCACCTCTTATTATGTAGAAGAGGGATTTTAAAAAAATTGTAATCATTTTTCCTCTATAGCCTGGCTTTCTAGATTCACATCTCAGAAATTGAATATTAACTCTTTTTTTTTTTTTTTAAAGATGGGAGTCCCCCTCTGTCATCCAGGCTGGAGTACAGTGGCATGATCTTGCTCACTGCAGCCTCCACCTCCGGGATCAAGCCATCCTCCCACCTCTGCCTCCCAAATAGCTGGGGCCACAGGTGTACGCCATCATGCCCTGCTAATTTTTTGTATTTTTGGTAGAGACAGGGTTTCACTATGTTGTCCAGGCTGGTCTTGAACACCTAAGCTCAAGCAATCCACCCACCTTGGCCTCCCAAAGTGCTGGGATTACAGGCATGAGCCACTGTGCCCAGCCAACTCTTTCTTCTTGCATTTCAGTCATAATATTTTCATCCTCCCCTTGCCCTCTCTATGCCCAGCCAGGAGGCAAATTCAAAGGAAAAGTACATTTGTATATTTCAAAGTAAGACTTCCTTACATGTGATTTCCAAACTTTTACTTTTAACCTTCTTTAGTTTTAAATGTACTTATAGAAGACAATAATTCTTCTGGATTTTCTTTTTTTTATTTTTAGAATCTTTGTATTTCTGTGAGGGAGTTTTGTCCTTTATATATTGGCAAAATTGATATCCTCACCTTACATCTGTTACTAATATTAAGCTTTCTGTTCCTGTAGGGCTCCTTGCTATTACTACCTTAAAATCTTTTTATTATAAATTTTTCATCAGTTGTGATTTGTAAAGTATGTATCATAGTCTCAAATCTGTTCATATGTTATTTCCCAAAGTTTCATGGGGGTATTAAGAGCTGTTACTCACAGCAAAGAAATTGTGCCATTAAATATGTTTGGGAAATTCAGGATGAATTAAACAGCCTTCTCACTGTAGTTCTTATAATTTTTAATATGTTAATGAATTTTAGGCTACAACAGCAGAAAATACACAACAGGCCAAATTTATTTGAACACAGAATCCCTTTCCCAACAAACCTTTAGTGAAACAATTGTCTTATAGAAAACTATTGGAAAAATGTGGTGCTGATATTTACATTTTTGCACCTTTTATGTAAATATTAGTAAATAAAAGTACTACTGTCATCTGCCCTAAATATTCTCTGGTTCCTCCTGAGGTTTATTTTCCAGCTTTCTCCACTCTGCTTGATGGCTCAGAGACTTTCTTCTATGGGCTTCAGCTGGGTTTCCTCTTCCTCTGGGTCTCAGTTGGGTTCAGCCCATGAGGCTCTGGCAGGAGATGGAAGTGTGGGAGGAAAGAGCCCACTCTATCTACTTCCCTGGTGCCCTTCCTGTAGGGCCATGGATTGGCACAGCTGTGTGCTTCTCTTGAAGGCTGCAGCTCCTGGCAGGAAGCGCTTCTATAATTATCTATTTTTCTTTTCCTTACCTCTGCAGACCTAGGAGTTGGTAACAGCTACCTGCTCATACTATCCCCAAGTGTTTCGCCATCTCTTGCTGGTCCCGCATAACCTCCTACAAGGGTTATGATAAACCTTCATTTAACTCTCCTCAGTTATACCTTGGGCATGAATGATCAGTTTCATGTCAGTTTTCTGATTCACATAGTGCCCACTGTGTAAAATATCAAAATTAACACACTTATGCTTTCTCATCCCTTTTCCCCTGCAACCCCAATTTTTGTTAGTTAATATGGAATTTTTTTTTTTTTTTGAGACAAGAGTTTTGTTCTGTCGCTCAGGCTGGAGTGTAGTGGCACGATCTCAGCTCACTGCAACCTCCGCCCCCTGGGTTCAACTGATTCTCCTGCCTCAGCCTCCTGAGTAGCTGAGATTACAGGCATGTGGCACCACACCTGGCTGATTTTGTATTTTTAGTAGAGATGGGGTTTCACCATGTTGGTCAGGCCCATCTTGAACTCCTGATCTCAGATGATACGCCTGCTTCGGCCTCCCAAAGTGCTGGGATTGCAGGCATGAGCCACTGCACTCGGCCGTTAATATGGAATTTTATATGTAATTTCATAGTTTAAATTATTATTAATATGATCATCATTTTATGTTGAACATTTTGTCTATTAGGAAATGTTAAAATAAATGATATTTTGCATTCTATCTCTTCAATCATACAATAAATATTATTTAGAATAACTGGTTTAAATAGTTTTAAGACTCACTTTTAGTACTTTTGTACCAGAGTTTCTGTGTTCTTGAACGTTACTTTGGTTAATCACTTGGTTAGCTAGAATAGTTGTCAAAAAGAATACATAAATTTTACATTTTCACAGTCATTGCTTAGTTTACAATATTTTTCTTTGTCTTTCTCAGAACAATCACTGGGCTTGTTGTGAAATTCATGAATCGACATCCTCTCAAAACTTTTTAGACGTTGTTTCCATTATCTACTGTATTTGAAGATTATCGAGAAATTGTGTGGGGCCAACTCAATTTTTCTTTGAGGCTCATTACGTCCATCTTAGTTTCCATCACTGCCAACCAACATTTCAGGGAAAAATATCTGCATTTCAAAAACCTTCCCCTTCTTTCCTTCCTTCCTTCCTCTCCTCCTCCTTTTCTTTCTTTCTTTATTCTTTCTTTCTTTCTCTTTCTTTCCTTCCTTCTTTTTCTTTTCCTCTCTCTCCATCTCTCTCTCTGTGTCTCTCTCTCTCACACACATACACACTTTAATATGTGTAAATATCCTGCTCTTCTAAATCTCCTATGTGATTTAGCATTTAACCACATTTCTCGCCTATTTCAGTCTTTACCATGATGCTTGCAAGATGATGATTTTACAGTTTTTACCAGTTGGTCTCTAGCACTCAACTGTAAACAAGAGCCCTCTCTTCTCCCTGAATTATTTATTTATCTATTTGTTATCAGCATGGATGCATGATTTCCTACTTTTTTTTTTTCCAATGGTTTAAAAGTCATTACTGTACTTAATTATTTTAGTTCAGAATTTCCCAGATCTGGCCAGTGGGAGTCTCTCCAATCTGAGACACTCTCTTTAGACATTTAATTGCTCATTTACATCAAGATTAAGATGCAGGGAATCAGATGCTTATGCTCAAGTCACCAGCCTGTTCTAGAACTGACATCATTTTCTCATTGTACATTTGCCCATAGCCAGAATAGGCATTAGACATCAATGCACTCAGTTCTTTCTACATTGCTCAACCCCTCCCTGATGACATTATTTTGTATACTGATTGCTACAAGCTTCTGTATATATGCACATACAGAGAAATCTGTAGAAAAAAACTTTTTTAAATCAGGTCACTGTAAAGCAAGGTCTGACATATTGTACATAAATTCAAATGTGCTTATGCAAAAATCTATCTAAAAATATAAACCTCATGTCTGCAAAATCTAATGATGTGTGTGTGTGCATGCGCGCACACGCGTCTGTGTGTGTGTGTGTGTGTGTGTGTGTGTGTGTGTGTCCACTATGGCTGGGAAACATCCAGGGAAACAAGCTATCTCTTATTAAAACCACAGTGAAGGTGGCATTGGGTGCAGCTGGTTATCAAAACCAGGCTTTCCCACGGCTTGCAAATGGTTGGTTCTGAGAATAGTGGAGTCCAGTAGAACACAGAAGAGGGAAGGAAGCTGGTATGAATTAGAGCTGAAGCCAAGCCCAAGGCAGAGACTTGATGTCAGATACCGAGCAGAAGACTCTGGCCTCAGCTCAGGTGAACCGGAGGTAGAGGCAGCCTAGTACTCTGGATAGCTCCTGAGCACAAAAGGTTTGCTAGGCTTGTAATCTTCCAAACACCATTTTGATTCTCTGCTGTGTCTGGAATTCTCTGTCTCAAAAGAAAAAAAAAGAAAAAAAAATCTTCTATGCCTCTCATGTTCCTGCTGCCCCTCTATCCAACCATGTAACCATTTCCATCCTCCTAAGAGCTTTTGCAATCTTCGCATTGGGTGGGAGGGGTTCTCATAGAGTAGTCATATCTTTAGAGGGGTCTACACAGCCCAGAGTAAGGACTCTGGGACAAAATACCAAAAAAAAAAAAAAAAAAAAAAAAAAAACACAGACAAAAATCCTGGCATTCCCCTCTCTTACCTCTGTGTGGGTGAGTGTTGCTGCTGAGAGTGGCCTCTCAGGATACCTCCTTGCATGTGTGCATGGCACGTGAATGTCTCAGAGGACTACATGCAACAATTCACAAACTCAGTTTTTAACCCCCCTTTTGCCATTCAGCTTGTGACACGTGGCCATCAGAGACAGCACCCAGAGTTACACAGCACTCCCTTCCCAATGAGGCTGCCACATGTCACCAAGAGCTGCAGTTCTCTCTCGCACATTTTGCATAATCAGTTTCTATTCTGTCGTGTTCTCTCACACATGGTGCTCTGAGACTATTCTGGAAAATAGAGAATTTTTTCAGTTTAGATGAGTAGCATGATTTTACGTTGTGCTCAGCCTGTTTGGTAAATGAAATCAATTACTCATCTATCTGTCAGATGAAGAGAAAGACACATGCCTGCGTTTAACCTGTTTTTAGATCCAGAGACCATCGCTTTGCTTCCATCACACTGAGAATAACAACAATCCGCATCATGGCCCTGAGAGCTGATGTTTGCATTCAGATTTCTAACTTAAAAAATTCCACACCATGGGTTTCTGCAATAGCTTCTAAATGTTTCCCCTCCTTTGAATACATTCTACATTCTGTAAGCCATTCCCTGATCAAAGCTTTGAAAGCACTACTTACTACTTGGCTTACAGATTGAGTTTTATCATTGACTGGCTACCCAATCTAGTAAAATCACACCTTCTCCAAGCCGCAACTTCCTGAAAAGTAACATTGGGATCAAAATACTACTTCTTCCTTAAAGGATGGTTAGGAGAACTCACCGAAAAATTGTAGGCGAAGAGTTTTGTAAATTATAAATTCTTAGAAGGTGTTCATTATTTCTATAATCTTTCTATGGCTTCTCACTACTGAAATTTCAAACTCTACTCCGGCATTTAAACAACTCTTGGACCAAAATCCACCCAAACACGTTTTTGTCATTTTTGTATGACTCCCTGGTGTGAAAATTCTTTCCCAACTGAACGTGTATACCTGCATTTTCACTGGGTGTGGCCAAAGTTGAATAATAAAGTCCAGAGAAGTGCAAGACAATGGAGAAAAAGGCAAGAGTACCAGATAAGCTGGCAAAACTTAGATTTCAGTAAATATTTTAGACTTGGTTTTTCACCCAACTCACAATGCTCAAGTGCAACCACTCAGCACCTTTATGTTGGAAAGATGATTAGGGTTTGAATTACACCAATGACATTTTCCAAGTATGTGACCTTAGGACACTCACTTATAATTTCCTTTCTTTCTCTGCTGAAAAGTTTGAACCTTACCAGACAGTTGCAAAGAGTTGATGTGGCAAAGTATGTATATATATACACATACACATACATATATATATATATATACATGTACATATTTTTTAAGTGTTAAAATATTAAAGGACTGCACAAATGTTAGTTTGCCATTGTTGGGTCATTGCAAGGGCTGGTGAATTCATAGTGCTTAAAAGAAACCTGCAGAGCAATTCTTTTGATCCATAAATCCTTGTCTAATCTCTATGGCAGATGACTCCATTAGTCTCTCAATAGGTCTGTCCTCAAATTTCATAAGCAGCGCCATTGTAAGGGCAGAGGAGAAGTAAACAGTCTAAAAATAGTTTCCTCACTAATTTCCCCTAAATTTGGAGAAACAGACAGTGTCTGTGAAAGCAGTAGCCTCGTGCTAGAGCATTCATGGATGAGTCAAACCCCTCTCCATCCGCTGCCAGATTTTTATTCATTCAGGGGCTGTCGACTCAGTTTGGGGCTCTGTTTTCCTTCCTCTTCCTGCCCACTGCCTCCTTCTCAATCTCCGTTACCCATTAGCACACCTCCCCATGGGAGGACCAGGAAAGAAGATTGATTAAGTCAAATAAGTCGATATGAGTACTTTTTAACAATTTACACCGGTGAAAGAGCAGGTTAAATAAGCTGTGGTTTGTAAGCACTCTGTGAACTTCATTCATCTATGACCGCTCTTTCCCCTTCAACAGAACCACAGATAACTAGAGGTGGACTCTCTCGGAGCCCCTCTAGTAAAAACTCAGCTTCTTTGGCAAACAGCCATAAAGGAATTTTGATGTGTAGGGTTTTGTTTTTTTCTTTTTCCTTTTACAAATAATGAAATGCCACTCACCTACTTAGAACCGCTCTATGGACCTTGAGGACACCCAGGCCAGGAAATGGCAGCCCCCAAGAGTGTGGCTACCCTGGAGCAATTGTCTTCATAACAGAAGCGGGCAGGACATAAGGCGAAGGGGGAATATCCTTCAGCCAAATCCCAATAGAGATAGTGCATTCTTCACCTGAATTGCATTCCGCAAGCATACTTCCAAGATGTATTCACTCCCCTGAAAACAAGCTGCCCAAACATCTGTGGGGAGACAAAGGAAAACATGGGGAAGGAACCCAGAAATGATATTTCAGCATAAACGTGGGAAGAAGTACACTGCAACTTGCAAACAGCCTTCTGTACCGCATGCCATAAATTAACACAATATAAATTTATACATATTTACACCACATAGTCTCTAACTATATAAATCCTCAATACTCAGACTTGTGGAGTAGGTGTAAGAGAACAGTCCATATGTTTATTCATGTTCTGTGGAACTCTAGGGAACTTGGTGATTACACACACACACACACACACACACACACTCTCTCTCTCTCTCTCTCTCCCTCTCTCTCTCTCTGTATGTGTGTGTGTATAATTAAAGGTGATTCTAAATGTTTAAATCAAATTAATGCCTAAAGGCAAAACACTATTTTTAGAAAATGGTGCCATTTTTCAGATAATCACAGCCCAAAAGAATTTTAATTATATTTAACTAAGCTTTTCCTAGTTGGTTTATGTATTCCAAAACTTTGGTAAATAGTGACTGATCTATACATAAAGATTTTGTAGAGTAAACTTTTTACAGATGGAAAAGACAATTTAAAGGACTATTCCCTAGGATCTGTTACCCATATGAAAGAAAGTAAGATTAAAATACAAGATTTCACAATTTATACTTGGAAACTTCTTAGCTAATGAGAGACTTTGTGATATCTTGAGGGTTGGGGGTTGGGAGGAAATATCAGAATAGTGGGAATCTCCTCCTGGCTCTGCCATTTACTTCTTATTCTTGGAAAAGTCCCTTCACCTCTCAGAGGATAAGGGAGATAGTAATATCTGCCTTGAATAACTCAAAAAAAAAAATGTAAGAGTCAATGACACAGAGCTGCTGTGAAAGTACTTGGCAATTGTAATGTCTTTATATGTACTATCAAGTCATTGTTATGGTTTCTTTTATAATTCACTAAGCAAACAAAATGCATTCAATTTCTTTTATAGCTTTCTTGGAAGAAATCTACAGCTGGGTTGCTGTTGACACTCTTTGTATCAGAAGAAAGCCATCCACGATGGTCAGAGAAGCACATCACAGCACCGATTGCCAAATTGCTTTGGCACATGCATGTGTGTGGGCGGGGACTGTGGCTGTGTCTTGGACACTGCCCAGCACTCAGTGGGCACTTATTAAATATGGAATAACAAGAAGTATTTTAGAGGGAAATGGCTGTCTGACACAAACAAGACAGCAATTTTTTCACATGTCACCCATTTAAAGGTGTAGCAGCTGTGGAGTAGAGCCTTTATTGTATATGTAGGCACCAAAGAAACGTACTAAAATAGAGTTGCACTTATCATAGCCAAAGTCATAACTGTTACACAATGAAGAGTAGATGCTTAATCTCTGCTTTGCTTTACACTGACAGCGAATAGAATCGATTTCAAATGATACCTTGTCTCTATTTCAGTCTGCCTTTTTTCTCCTCCTTGAAACTATGAGAGGATGCTAGTTATGCATCATTTGAGGACTGGAGAAGAGAAGTCTTTCTTCTGCTTTCTTCTGCCCACATCCTTATAAGTGTGGAAAAAGTCTACACATCACAGAGATGCCCTTAGACTCCATATAATGGCCAGGACATAAACCCAGACTCATGTGCAATGATAGAGGGATGCTAGGTTCATGCTGACACCCCTGTCCACTCCACCACCATCACCAATGCCACCATGCCTAGCACAGCAGTGATGGCTGCAGCGGAGTTACCCGGCCTCATGCTCAGTGAAGTCACTGGTAACTACGACTCCACATGAGGAATAGATTTTTGCATGTATAAAAATTAAGAGCAGTACCTCAAGGACATGCGGGAACACCAGGTTAGAGCTAAGCCCTGTGCAGCCTCATTTTTAGGAGTGAAGGAAGGACCAGTAATGAAGGAATAAAAATATTTGAAACATTCACTTTCTCACACTTTTATGCCACTCACAGTCTGCTGGGGACAAAGATGTGAAGTTAGGAATGTCCAATCAAGACTAACATTTTCGATTTTAAGATCACAGATCACTTTGCCAGTCTGATGAAATCTATGGACTCCTTTCCAGAAAAATGCATGTGACACAAAATTGTAAATATAATTTTAGAAGGTTGATTGCCACCCAAACCCTGTTTAAGAACTCTGCTCTGAAGAATTAAGGGAAAGACAGCAAGGGAGGACTACTTATTAGGCTTGTATAGAAACTGTAGGGCTAAAATGGAGTAGAGTATATTAGTTTCCTATTGCTGTCGTAATAAATCACCCCCATTCAGTGCCTTAAAACAACACAAATTAATCTTCTTACAGTTGTGGAGGTCAGAGGCCTAAAAATGGTTCAGTAGAGCTGCGTTCCTTCTGGAGGCTCTAGGGGAGAATCTGTTTCCCTACCTATCCCAGCAGCTGATTTCTTGATTCACAGCCCCACATCACTCCAACCTCTGCTTTCATTATTATATCTTGTTCTCTGACTCTGACTCTCACCTGCCTTTTATAAGGACCTCTGGGATTGCATTGGACCCACCTGGATTATGCAAAATAATCACCTCATCTCAAGATTCTTAACTGAATCACCTATGCAGAGTTTCTTTTCCCATGTAAGTTAACATATTCACAGTTTCTGGGATTTAGGATGTGGACATCTTTGGGGCCATGATTCAGCCTACCACAGGTTGCTTCAAGGTTTTCACTTTGCACAGCACTGTTTGAGAGAACAGATTGGCATTCACGCTAGAAGAGTTAGCCAGAAATTGAAGGTGCGTATTTGATTGACATCCAAGCTTCTATATCTTCAGGAAAGTTACCGAATGGGGCCAAATCTAAGCAATGGGAAGGAATTAGACCTCCATGCTTGAGAAAAGCCTAATACTTTTTGAACCCATGACTCCAGGGGAAAGTTGCCTGACTCACTATATCTTGAGTATCTTGAATGGAACTCTGCAAACTGGCTCATTGAGAACCTCAAATGGTAACAGCTCTGAAAGACAAAGAAGAATGAAGAATACGCTCAAATAAGTTGAGCATGTGTGCTAGTCAAAATGATTTGTATCATTCTCCTCTCAATTTTCCTGATACTTGAAAGCCACTTTTTTCTAAAATTTCTAAATTATTGTATTAGTCTGTTCACATGCTGATATTAAGAAATACCCAAGACTGGGTAATTTATAAAGAAAAGAGGTTTAATTGACTCACAGTTCCGCATGGCTGGGGAGGCCTCATGGCAGAAGGCACCTCTTCATAGGGTGGCAGGAGAGAGAATGAGTGCAAGCAGGGAAAATGCCAGATGCTTATAAAGGCATCGGATCTCGTGAGACTCACTCATTAACACAATAACAGCATGGGGGAAGCCACCCCCATGATCTAATTACCTCCACCTGGTCCTGCCCTTGCCATGTGGGAATTATTACAATTCAAGGTGAGATTTGGGTGGGGACACAGAGCCAAACCATATCAATTATATAGATAATCTCCTCAATTGTCCTTTTCATTTTGTCTAGATGGATAGGATAATGTCCTAGGTAGGATCTGAACTTGTTGAAAAAATAATGAACATAGGTCATACTATATTAGGACTTTGCAATTACCTGGAGAAACTCTTGCAGATTTCATACACCACTAAGAGGTGCTATTCTTAGCAAGATTCACACTTGGTATGCTCAATTTCAATATGAACTCAATATTTGAGGAGAAGGAAATTAAATCAGCACTTGGGTTGTTGTTTTCTTTTTTGATCCACAGCAGACTGGTCTGTCTGGATCCTGCGATCAAGATAGAATGTCATTATCCTGGTTTTTGTCTGTGACCTGTCAGAGCGGACGACTGGGTTTGAACTGAAAGGCAGCACATATGCTTCTGAAATGCTTAATTGTAGCAACACAGAAACATTGAATAAGCTTCATGTTGAAAATGTTGTCATTTCTCTTCCTAAGCCCTTCAGTGTTAAAACTGGGCAAAAAATAGATGGTCGAGCAAAGGCTGTTGTTTCCCTGATGTTCTCAGAAGCCAGCTCCCAGTCCTTGGCTTAGCCTTGCTGCCGAGTTTGAACTGAAGCTGGTGAGCAGATGAATGCTATATATCTCCCACAATGAAAATCAATTGTAGGCTTATATCTTTCTAGAGCATTGCACCAGAGTACTGTTGATCCGCTTTTTTGCTTTAAATGGAAAACCCTCCGGGGAAGTTTTGTGTACTCTAAACAAGATCTCTGTAGGATCAGATAATAGGGTCTGTGTGAATGTAATACAAAATAGAGAGAGAGAGGTGGGTGGGGGGGCAAGCATGCT
Source organism: Homo sapiens (assembly GCF_000001405.40). NCBI lineage: Eukaryota > Metazoa > Chordata > Mammalia > Primates > Hominidae > Homo > Homo sapiens. The sequence continues at coordinate 16,898,749 of NC_000006.12, read as the reverse complement.
AATGCAGATTAGAGATTATTCAGCTGAGACTTTCATTTACTGAGGCGCATAATATAAAAATGCCACTATCTCAACTGCCATTTTCTTGTGATTTCTCCAAAGATTTTGGGACGATTATTTTTAAAACAAATGCTTTAACTCTCAAGAAGTCAGTTCTGGAAACTTAATATGTGTTTCATCTATGCTATTTGTATTTTTAAAATTGCACACAATTTGAAGGTAATACTTAAAGAATAGTGGATCTGATTATCATTGATTTCATTTGGATAATCAAGGAATACTTGTTTTGAAAGGGGGTACTTTTAAAAAAGGAAATAGAAAATGTTTACATACCTCAACTTAAGGATCCAAAGGAGAAATGTCTGATGCACAGGATACAATGCATATGATAAGGACACTACTTTTAGTACTATGATTACCAAATAGGACCATGTCATGAAATTCCATTTGTCAATTCTTGATATGTTCCTTCTTGTATTAATCAGGGTTGTCCAGAGAAACAGAAACAATAGGATAGATATATACATATATATAAAAAGAAATTATATATACATATACATACGTACATACACACATATCTATCTATCTATCTATGAAGAAATGCATTATAGGGAATTGGCTTATGCAATTATGGAGGCTAATAAATCCCAAGATCAGCAGTCAGACAGCTGGAGACCAAGGAGAGGCAATGGTGCGGTTTTAGTCTGAAGGCTGGCGGGCTTAACACCTAGGAAAACCCAATGTTTCAGCTCAAGTCCAAACATGGAAAAAAAAATGATGTCCTGATTTCAAGGTAGTTGGACAGGAAGAGCTCCCTCTTACTCTCAGAAGGGTCAGCCTTTTTGTTCTATTCAGGTCTTCAACTGATTGGATGAGGCCCACCCACATTAAGGAGGGTGATTTGCTGTACTCTGTCGACTGATTCAAATTTTAATCTCATCCAGGAACACCCTCACAGACACACCCAGAATGTTTGACCAAAGGTCTGAGAACCCCGTGGCACAGACTAGTTGATACATAAAATCAACCATCCCTGATAACCATCACTCATCTACCCATCCATCCGGTCACTTATTCATTTGCTTGATCTACATTATGAGCACCAACTGTGTGCCAAATTTTGGGGCTAGGAGCTGGGAACACCGAAACAAATAAGGTGGATTTGACTTCTAGCAGGATGGCATGAGGAGCTTCACAAACCTGCTAGCCAGTGAAACTGGTTTAAAAATATATATTTTTTTCTTTTAGAGATGGGATCACCCAAGCTAGAGTTCGGTGGCACAATCATAGCTCACTGTAGCCTCAAACTCCTGGGCTCAAGTGATCCTTCTGCCTCAGCCCCAAGAATATGGCATGCACCAGCACACCTGGCTAATTTTTTATTTTTTATTTTTTTGTAGAGATGGTGTCGTGCTATGTTTCCCAAGGTAATCTTGAACTCTGGCCTCAAACAATCCTCCCTCCGTGGCCTCTCAAATTGTTGGGATTATAGGCGTGAGCCACCATGACCAGCAAAATTATTTTTAAAAACAAAACAAAAATAACCATTTAAAGTCTCTAGAAACTGTTCTAAGGGAATACAGCAAATAAAGAAGCATTTAGGAGAACCTACTAAAACTGAGTAAGAACAGTGAGAATCTGTGGTATTTGAACCAATATCACTCCCTCCTTCTCCTCTCCAAGCTTAGTGAAATGGAAACTACACTCCAGACAGCTAAGAGCACACGGCTCCTTCTCCAGACAGCTCCCAGTCAGAGGATGTCAGCACTTCTCATCTTGTCCTCAGCTACCTGTTGCTGAGGCTAAAATCTGGGTGAGTGTAGCCAAGAGATAGAGGATCCCTTCCTCCATTCAGCCTGCGCTTGTGGGATGGTTTTGTATTGGGTGCAGTGCTGCTGATTATACAAAGGCCCTGATTGCTGTTGTATCATCTCTCAAGGTGATGGGTCTATGCCAGGGGAAGTAAGCTGAAAAGACCTGAGGCTACTAGCCCCTCTCCTTTCCATCAAACATTCAGTTCCAAAAGTGAGGTGTCACTCAGAGAGAAACACACCATTGTCCCCACTTCCAGCCCCAGATCTACAGTCCAGAAATTTTGCCCAAGTAGAGAGGCAGACTATAAAGCAGAGAGCCCCAAGTCTCTTCCTAAAAGAACTTACTTCATTCACAAGAAAGTGTGCAGAAGTTCAAACCTAAGTGCACTCTCGAAAACAATGGACTTGTGGTTAAAAAACAACAAAAAAAAAATTAAAAAAAAAAAAAAAACCAAACAGCTGAGAAGACATTGACAGGTTCATTGGAGATATATGCTAAACTGTAGGTCAGCTATTTTGCTGGAGAAAACACCCAGGGAAAGAGATAACCAGCAGGAGCCCTAGAAATCTGCTGGGCATTCATGGAGCTCAACATCTGGGTGCAGTCAGTGAAAGAGATAGCTAAAGAGAGCTGTGCCACTCTGCCAAAACCACTGTCATCCCAGAGTGACTGCAAGCCTACCCAATGCTGTACCCTCTGAAGAACATCAGAGACTTAACACAGAGGAGTGAGGAGAACAGAATTCACTAAAATTATGCAGTGGCAACCAAACAAATAAGCAATAAAAAGCCTGGGCGGTGGAAGGACTGTATTCAGAGCTGCTATAATGTATTATCTAAAATGCCCAGTTTCCAACAAAAAATTATGAAACATACAAAGAGAAAGTATGAACCATGCACTGGAAAAATAAGCAGGTAACATAAACTGCCTATAAAAACAACAAAATATTGGTATATCAATGACTTCAAAGTAGCCATTACAAATTTGTCAAACAACAAAAGGGAACCATAATTAAAGAAGTAATGGAAGGCATAATGATAATGCCATATAAAATATACAATATTAATAAAGAGATTGGAATTACAAATAAAATGTAAATCATGGAGTTGACAAGTACCATACAGTTGACCCTTGAACAATGCAGGTTTGGGGCACCAACACCCCACACATCAAAAATATTACATGTAACATTTATTGAAAGTTGAATTGTTTAATATGTACCATAGATTGAGATCTGCAGCTGTGGTTGCTTGCCATTTCAAGATATTTTTTAAAAAAGCAAATTCATGAAATTTACATTAAATTTGCATATAACTTTTGATCCCCCAAAAGAGTCCTGATCATAAACCCAACTGCATTTGCACAAAAGAGTAGAGTTAGCCCATCCCTTCCTGCCTTAAATCCTGATGCTCACTTCTCTTTCTTACTAATAAATGCCATTGGGGGCATTTTCTTTTTTCTAGAATAGGGCACTTTCATCTGCATTAAAAACCTTTTTAGCAGATATCTTTTCTTATCAACGATTTTCTTAGTGGCATCTGGGAACTCACTGCTGTCTCTGGGTTGGCAGAAAATGCTTCTCCTGTTATCTTGACATTTTCAAAGACAAACTTTTCTCTAAAATTATCAAACCATCCTTTGCTGGCATTAAATTCTCCAGCATTAGATCCTTCAACATCTTTTTGCTTTCGGTTGTCATATAATGACTTTGCTTTTTCTCACATCATATGAGAGGTTATAAGTATGCCTTTCCTTTAGCAATTCTACACCCGCATAAAAGCTGCATTTTCTATATGATGTAAAAAGGTATTTTGCAAAAAGTGCAAGGTCTTCACACTTGCTGGTATAGCTGCAATGATGGCTTCATGAATTTTCTTTTCTTTTCTTTTTTTTTTTTGAGACAAACTCTCACTCTGTCACCAAGCCTGGAGTGCAGTGGTGCAATCTCGGCTCACTGCAACCTCTGCCTCCCAGTTCAAGCAATTCTCCTGCCTCAGCCTCCCAAGTAGCTGGGATTATAGGTGCGTGCCACCACACCAGGCCAATTTTTGTATTTTTAGTAGAGATGGGGTTTCACCATGTTGGCCAGGATAGTCTCGAACTCTTGACCTCAGGTGATCCACCTGCCTTGACCTCTCAAAGTTCTAGGATTACAAGCATGAGCCACCTAGCCCGGCCTTCCTTTTCTTTTTCTACAATGTTCATGCTAGATTTATTTATCTTGAAATGGCAGGCAATCACAGTTGCAGACCTCAATCTATGGTATATGTTAAACAATTCAATTTTTTCTAGGAATGTCATGACTTTTCTTTGCTTCTTGGGAACATTTCTGGCATGACTTTGCATGGGTCCCATGGTGTTATTCAAGGTTTACAATATTACACTAAGCATAGTGAAAAATACATAAGAATCTTGAGAGATCATTTTTTACTGCAATATGCAATTTATTAGAGAGAAGAACTGCTCACAGGAAGATGATTAGTATCACATGTTGTTTTCAGCATATTCTCACAACACTTGAGCTCATGTAATAGAAACAGGAGGTGGCTATGGAATTATTACAGTAGTAAAGTACATACCACAGTAAATTTTATGCAGTTGGGATTTAATACTGCCCCCTTTACATTTGTTTACATTTCTCTTGACTGTGAATGGCATCGTGTAGAGTCTGTAAGTGTTTGTGTGTGTAAGTTTTGATAAATTTTAACTTTTTATAACAGATTTGTGTATATTTTATGGTACTAAATGATAAAATAGAATGACATCTATATATATTTTATGCATTCATGACATACCTAATTTAAAATATTTTGTTTTATATTTCTAGGCTATATGATTCATTTGTGAGTTTTTTGAAATTGTCATAAATTTCCAAAAAAATTTCCAAAATATTTATTTTTAAAAGTTCACATATGTCATTCAAGTGTCAACTATACTGAGATGAAAAATTCACTAGGGGGGCTCAATAGTAGATTTGAACTCTCAAAAGGAGGAAGTCGCAAACTTGAAGATAGAGTGATAGCACGGAGAGGGAAAAATTGAAGAAAAATGAACAGAACCTTCAGGAAAGGTGGGATACCATGAAGTACACCAGCATACATATAATAAGACTATGGTTGGGGGAAGAAAGAGAAGAAAAAATCTGAAGAAATAATGGCCTTAAATACCCCCAATTTATTGAAAAATATTAATTTATACACCCAGGAAGCTTGATGATCTAAATAGAATAAATTCAAATGGAACTACAAAGAGACACATTATAGTAAAACTTCTAAAAGCCAAAGACAAGGAGAAAATCTTGAAAGCAGCAAGAGAAAAATGACTTGTCATTCACAAGAGAACTCCAATAAGATTAATAGCTGATTTCTTTTCAGAAACAATGGAGACCAGAAGGTAGGGACATAATATATTCAAAGTGCCCAAAGAAAAATATAATCAACCAAGTATCCTATATCCAGCAAAGCTCTCTTTCAAAAATGAACGTGGAATAAATTCCCAGATAAACAAATGCTGAGACTACTAAAGGAATTATAGTATTTATTTAATACCAAAGGAAAAAACACTAAAGAAATTTCTTCAGGCTGAAAGCAAGTGACCCCAGATAGTAATATGAATCCACACAAAAAAAACAAAGAACACTGGTAAAGGTAATTATGTAACTATAAAAAGACTATAAATGCAAATTTCTTCTCCTTTCTTCTCTCTACTGATTTTAAAAGCAATTGTGTAACACAATGTGCATATAATGTATTGTTGGTCTCAAAACATATAGAAATGTAATATCTTTGCCAATAACAGCAACAAGAATGTGGGTGGGAGCAAAGCTGTACTGGGCTAAGGAAATGACTCCAGATGGTAGCTTGACTCCACAAGAACAAATGAAGAGAATCAGAAATGATAAATAAGAGGGCTAATATTAAAAAAGCTATAACTATATAATTGCTGTCTTTTATTAGCTTAGTTTCTTTAAAAGACATAAAACTATATAAAGTAATCATTATAACAATGTATTGCTTGGCTTATAACATTTATAGATGTAATATGTTTAATAATAATACCATAAAAAGTGGGGAAAGGGAATAGAGCTATGTAAGAGTGATATTTCTATATCTCACTGGAATTAAGTTAGTATAAATCTGAAGCTGATTCTGATAAGTTAAGATGTATATGTAAGCCCTAGAGCAACCCCAAGGAAATAACTCAAAAAGTATAGTGAAAACAATCATTAGAGAATTAAAATGTTACATTAGAAAATACTCAATACAAAAGAAAGCAGTAAAAGAGGAATAGAGAAACAAAAAAGATATGCAAAATATAGAAAATAAAAAGTAAAAGGAAAGATAATATCTAATGGGAATGAAGTAAACAATTCAATTCAAAGGCAGAGATTATTAAACTGAATAAAAATTACCAGATTTGCTACATGCAATTTATGGGAAATACACTTTAAATCCAAAGATACAAACAGATTGAAAGTAGGGGCTATAAAAAGATATTCTACGTAAATAATAACCAAAAGAGAGCTGAGCTGGCTATACTAATGTCAGACAAAATAGACTTTAAGTCAGATATGTTGCAGGAGACAAAAGAATATTATACATTGGTAAACGGGTCAATCCATCATGAAGATGTCATAATTATAAACATATTTGTACCTCATACCAGAGCTCCAATATATATCAAGCTAATAGAGAATTAAAGGGAGAAATATACGATTCTACAGTAATAGGTAGAAACATCAATACTCCACTTTCAATAATGAATAAAACTACGGAGAAGATCAATAAGGAGATAAAACACTTGAACAACACCATAACCAACTAGACCTAACAGACTTAGTCAGAGTCCTCCACACAAGAACAGCAGAATACACATTTATCTCAAGTGCATATAGAACATTCCACAGTATAGACCATATCTTAGGTTACAAAACAAGTGCCAACAAAAAGAATCAAACATTGTAAGATATTTGAAGAGATTTATTCTGAGCCAAATATGAGTAACCAATGAGCTATGACACAGCCCCACAAGGTCCTGAGAGCATGTGCCCAAGGTGGTCAGCTACGGGTTGGATTTATACATTTTGAGGAGAAATAAGGCATCAATCAATATGTGTAAGATGTACATTGATTCAGTCCAGAAAGACAGGACAACTAAAAGTGAGGCTTCCAGGTCGTAGGTAGATTCAAAAGATTTTCAGATTGGCAATTGGTTGAAAGAGTTTCTCTAAAGACCTGGAATCAACAGAAGGGGGTGTCTGGGTTAAGATAAGGGGTTGTGGAGACTTTCATGTGCGTCCGTGTGAAGAGACCACCAAACAGGCTTTGTGTGAGCAACATGGCTGTTTATTTCACCTGGGTGCAGGCGGGCTGAGTCCGAAAAGAGAGTCAGCGAAGGGAGATAGGGGTGGGGCCGTTTTATAGGATTTGGGTAGGTAAAGGAAAAAGGGGGGTTGTTCTGTGGTGGGCAGGAGTGGGGGTCACAAGGTACTCAGTGGGGGAGCTTTTGAGCCAGGATGAGCCAGGAGAAGGAATTTCACAAGACAGTGTCATCAGTTACGGCAGGAACAGGCCATTTTCACTTCTTTTGTGGTGGAATGTTATCAGTTAAGGCAGGAACCGGCCATCTGGATGTGTACGTGCAGGTCACAGGGGATATGATGGCTTAGCTTGGGCCCAGAGGCCTGACATTCCTGTCTTCTTGTATTAATAAGAAAAACAAAATGAAATAGTGGTAAAGTGTTGGGACGGTGAAAATTTTGGGGGATGGTATGGGGAGATAAATGGGCGATGTTTCTCAGGGCTGCTTCGAGCGGGATTGGGGGTGGTTTGGGAACTTAGAGTGGGAGAGATTAAGCTGAAGGAAGATTTTGTGGTAAGGGGTGATATTGTGAGGTTGTTAGAAGGAACATTTGTAATTTAGAATTATTGGTGATGGCCTGGATACAGTTTTGTATGAATTGAAAAACTAAATGGAATAAGAGAAGGAGAAAAACAGGTTTAAAAGGTCTAAGAATTGGGACGACTCAGGACATCTGATTAGAGAGTGCCTAAGGAGATTCAGCATAGTCCTGCCAGCAAAGATTATTTATTTACTTCAAGAGTTAAGAGTGGCAGTTTGGGGATAGCACCAGGAGATATCAGCTGTGATGGCTTGGAGAAACAGTGTAAACCGGCAGTGTAAACAAGAGCAGGGCATGTATGAGTAGTTGAGAACGGTGAATAGGAGTATGACTAGACAGAAGATAGTAGGGATGACAAGTTTTTCTGGGGGCACAGTCTAAGTTGGTCTGGTGTCTGGAATGAGACTGGGGCCTAATAAAAAGGAGCGTCTATACAGGAGCTCAAATGGGCTGTACCTTGTAGCATTCCAAGGACAGGCCTGAATTCTGAGAAGCGAAAGTGGTAAAAGTATTGTCCAGTCCTTTTTAAGTTGGTGGCTGAGCTTGGTGAGGTGTGTTTTTAAAAGACCTTTAGTCCGTTCTACTTTTCCTGAAGACTGAGGACCGTAAGGGATATAAAGGTTTCACTAAATACTAAGAGCCTGAAAAGCTGCTTGGCTGATTTGACTAATAAAGGCTGGTCCGTTATCAGACTGTATAGAGGTGGGAAGGCTAAACTGAGGAATTATGTCTGACAGCAGGGACGAAATGACTGCGGTGGCCTTCTCAGACCCTGTAGGAAAGGCCTCTCCCTATCCAGTGAAAGTGTCTACCTAGACTAAGAGGTATTTTAGTTACCTGACTCGGGGCATGTTGAGTAAAGCTAATTTGCCAGTCCTGGGTGGGGGCAAATCCTCGAGCTTGATGTGTGGGGAAGGGAGGGGGCCTGAATAATCCCTGAGGGGTAGTAGAATAGCAGATGGAACACTGAGAAGTTATTTCCTTGAGGATAGATTTCCACGATGGAAAGGAAATGAGAGGTTCTAAGAGGCGGGCTAGTGGCTTGTACTATAGCATAGCCTGCCTTTGCTGGTGTGTGGCGATTAGGCCTGGTGGAACTGCCATCAATAAATCAAGCGTGATCATGGTGAGGAACAGGAAAGAAGGAAATACGGGGAAATGGGGTGAATGTCAGGTGGATCAGAGAGATACAGTCATGGGGGTCAGGTGTGGTATCAGGAATAATGTGGCAGGCCGGATTGAAGTCCGGGCCAGGAGCAATGGTTATTGTGGGACTTAACAAAGAGGGAGTGCAGCTGAAGGAGCCGGGGAGCAGAAAGTATATGCATCAGGTATGAGGAAGAAAATAGATTTTGGAAGTTATGAGAAATGTAGAGAGTAAGTTGAGCATAGTTTGTGATTTTGAGGGCCTCTAAAAGTATTAGGGCAGCAGCAGCCACTGCACAGAGACATGATGGCTAGGCTAAAACAGTAAGGTCAAGTTGTTTGCACAGAAAGGCTACAGGGTGCGGTCCTGGCTCTTGTGTAAGAATTCTGACCACACTAACCACGCCTAGGAAGGAAAGGAGTTGTTGTTTTGTAAGGGATTGAAGTTTGGGAGATTAATCGGACACAATCAACAGGGAAAGCATGTGTGTTTTTATGAGAATTATGCCAAGATAGGTAACAGATGAGGATGAAATTTGGGCTTGACTGAAGTAATGGGGGCTGTCTGTGAAGGCTTGCGGCAGTACAGCCCAGGTAATTTGCTGAGCCTAATGGGTGTCAGAGTCAGTCCAAGTGAAAGCGAAGAGAGGCTAGGATGACGGGTGCAAAGATAGTAAAGAAAGCATGTTTGAGATCCAGAACAGAATAATGGATTGTGGAAGGAGGTATTGAGGATAGGAGAGTATATGGGTTTGGCACCATGGGGGGGATAGGCAAAACAATTTGGTTGATAAGGCATAGATCCTGAACTAACTTGTAAGGCTTGTCTGGTTTTAAGACAGGTAAAATGGGAGAATGATAAGGAGAGTTTATAGGCTTTAAAAGGCCATGCTGTAGCAGGTGAGTGATAACAGGCTTTAATCCTTTCAAAATATGTTGTGGGATGGGATATTGGCATTGAGCAGGGTAAGGGTGATTAGGTTTTAATGAGATGGTAAGAGGTGTATGATTGGTCACCAAGGAGGGAGTAGAGGTATCTTATACTTGTGGGTTAAGGTGGGGGATACAAGAGGAGGACGCAAAGGAGGCTTTGGATTGGGAAGAAGGGCAGCAATGAGATGCAGCTGTAATCCAGGAATAGTCAGGGAAGCAGATAATTTAGTTAAAGTGTCTCGGCCTAATAAGGGAACTGGGCAGGTGGGGGTAACTAAAAGGAGTGGTTAAAAGAGTATTGTCTAAGTTGGCACTAGAGTTGGGGAGTTTTAAGAGGTTTAGAAGCCTGGCCGTCAATACCCACAACAGTTATGGAGGCAAGGGAAACAGGCCCTTGAAAAGAAGGTAATGTGGAGTGGGTAGCCTCCGTATTGATTAAGAAGGGGACAGACTTACCCTCCACTGTGAGAGTTACCCGAAGCTCAGCGTCTCTGATGGTCTAGGGGGCTTCTGAGGCAATCGGGCAGCATCAGTCTTCAGCCGCTAAGCCAAGAAGGTCTGGGAAGGAGTCAGCCTTGGGCAAGAGTTCCAGGGGCTCTGGGAGTGGCTGCCAGGTGAGTTGAACAGTCCGATTTCCAGTGGGGTCCCGCACAGATGGGACTTGGCTTAGGAGGAATCCTGGGCTGCAGGCATTCCTTGGCCTGGTGGCCAGATTTCTGGCACTTGTAGCAAGCTCCTGGAGGAGGAGGTTCTGGAGGAACACCTGGCCACTGCGGTTCAGGCGTTTGGAAGTTCTTGTGTGCTGGAGATGTGGCTGGGGTTTGTCTCACAGTGGAGGCAAGGAATTACAACTTTTTTCTATTATTGCACACCTTGAAGGCGAGGTTAATTAAATCCTGTTGTGGGGTTTGAGGGCTGGAATTTAATTTTTGGAGTTTTAGTTAATGTTGAGAGCAGATTGGGTAATAAAATGTATTTTGAGAATAAGACGGCTTTTGACCTTTTAGGGTCTAGGGCTGTAAAGTGTCTCAGGGTTGCTGCCAAACGAGTCATGAACTGGGCTGGATTTTTATATTTGATGAAAAAGAGCCTAAACGCTATCCGATTTGGGATAAAGAAAAAGGAGCATTAACCTTGACTATGCCTTTAGCTCCAGCCACCTTTTTAAGAGTAAATTGCTGGGCAGGTGGCGGAGGGCTAGTCACGGAATGAAACTGTAAGCTGGACCGGGTGTGAGGATGGGAGGTGATAAAAGGATTATAGGGTGGAGGAGCGGAGGCTGAGGAAGAATTGGGACCTAGCTCGGCCTGGCGAGGAGCAGCCTGGGGAGGAGGGGAGAGGTCAGATGGGTCTGTAGAAAAGGAAGATTAGAAAGACTCAGCAACGCTTGGGGTTGAGACTGAGGGGACAGGTGGGAGGGAAAGAAGGAAGATTTGGGATGAGTTGCATTGGGAACAGAGACTAGAGAGGGACCAATGTGTAAAAGAATGCCTGGACGTCAGGCAGCTCAGACCATTTGCCCATTTTACGTCAAGAATTATTTAGATCTTGTAGGATGGAAAAATTGAAAGTGCCGTTTTCCGGCTATTTGGAACTACTGTCGAGTTTGTATTGGGGTGAAGCAGCATTGCAGAAGAAAATAAGATGCTTAGATTTTAGGTCAGGTGAGAGTTGAAGAGGTTTTAAGTTCTTAAGAACACAGGCTAAGGGAGAAGAAGGAGGAATGGAAGGTGGAAGCTTGCCCATAGTGAAGGAGGCAAGCCCAGAGAAAAGAGTAGAGACACGGAGAAGGGGTGGGGGGTTCTTGCCCTCCAGAAAAGCAGAGAAGGGGTTGGGGCGCGGAAATAAGGGATCGGGGCACAGAGATATAAGCGGTTGGGGCACGGAAATAAGGGATTGGGGCGCAGAGATATAAGAGGTCTGGGCATGGAAATAAGGGATCGGGGCACAGAGATACGAGGTTGGGGTACTTGCCCCTCCTCTAGAAAAGTGGGACTTGCCGCTCAGGGTGAAGGAGAAGGGGTTGGGGGTTTCTTGTCCCCCAGAAAGGTGGAGAAGGGGTAGAGACATGGAGAGAAGGGGTTGGGGTACTTGCCCCTTTCCCAGAAAAGCGAGACTTGCCGCTAAGGGTGAAGGACCAAGGCAGGCATCCCTGCATGGTCTGACACCTCTGAAACCTGGGTGAATAATCAGAGAGGTGTCCCTGCAATGATTAAACACCAAGGGAAGGCTGCCTTCCCTAGTCTGTGACCGGCGCCAGAGTTTTCGGTCCATGGATAAAATGTGTCTCCTTTGTCTCTACCAGAAAATAAAAGGAATTGAAATTAAGAGAAGGGAGAGATTGAAGAGTGGAAAGGAGAAAGTGATTGAGGGACAGTGAGAGAGGTTGGAGAAGAGAGTAAGAAGAGGCCGCTTACCTGATTTAAAATTGGCGAGATGTTCGTTCCTTGGGCTGGTTGGTCTGAGGACCTGAGGTCGTAGGTGGATCTTTCTCATGGAGCAAAGAACAGGAGGACAGGGGATTGATCTCCCAAGGGAGGTCCCCCGATCCGAGTCACGGCACCAAATTTCATGCGCGTCCTTGTGAAGAGACCACCAAACAGGCTTTGTGTGAGCAACATGGCTGCTTATTTCACTTGGGTGCAGGCGGGCTGAGTCCGAAAAGAGTCAGTGAAGGGAGATGGGGGTGGGGCCGTTTTATAGGATTTGGGTAGGTAAAGGAAAAAGGGGAGTTGTTCTGTGGTGGGCAGGAGTGGGGGTCACAAGGTACTCAGTGGGGGAGCTTTTGAGCCAGGATGAGCCAGGAGAAGGAATTTCACAAGACAGTGTCATCAGTTAAGGCAGAAACAGGCCATTTTCACTTCTTTTGTGGTGGAATGTCATCAGTTAAGGCAGGAACTGGCCGTCTGGATGTGTACGTGCAGGTCACAGGGGATATGATGGCTTAGCTTGGGCTCAGAGGCCTGACAGAGACCAAGGTTCTTATTATGCAAATGAGGCCTCCAGGAAGCAGGATTCAGAGAGAAAAGACTGTAAATGTTTCTTACCAGACTTAAGAAGATGCCAGACTCTTAGTTAGTTAATTCTCTCTTGGATCAGGAAAAAGACCCGGAAAGGGAGGGAGATTCTCTATAGGATGTAGATTTTCCCCACAAGAGACAGCTTTGCAAGGCCACTTCAAAATATGTCTCAGAAACATATTTTGGGGTAAAATACTTTGATTTCTTTTAGGGCCTGCTATCTGTCATGTTGGTATCTCATTGCTATAGAGAGTTTGTTTTGTCAGTCTGTTTTAACGTTAATGCTGGTCAGCTGTGCCTGCATTCCAACAAGCAGAGGACATAACAAGTCATGTTTGACTCCTTCTTTCCATCATGACCTAAACTAGTTTTTCAGGTTAACTTTGGAATGCCCTTGCCCTGGAAGAGGGGTCCATTTAGTTGTATGGGGGTTAGAATTTTAGTTTTGATTTACATAAGTCTCAACAATTTAAAAATCTTGAAATATACAAAGTATCTACTTCAACTGCAATGGAATGAAACTAGAATTCAATAACCGAAGGCAAACTGAACATTCCCAAATATATGGAAAATCAAAAACACATTCCTAAATGACCTAAAGGTGAAAGAAGAAATCAAAAGGTAAATTAGAGAATCCCTATAGGAGATGTGTTTTCTTGCATCATATATAGAGTCCTAGCCCAACGGCAATGCTACATCCTGGAGTGACACATAGCTGTTTAATTGAACTGCTCTCTTCTCAGGGCTAAGAGACTGACTAAAGAAGATACAGGATGATATATTTTAACGTCTTCTTTTCTGTCTATCCCAATTTGTCTTTCCACTTCTTTGTCTGTCTCTATCTAATAACCTCTAAGCCAAATCTCTCCAAAGCTAACAGGCTGGCTTTTAATATATGAAACTTTTTTCAAGTTTCAAAGTGAGGACTGAAGGAAATCAAAATATTTTACCTCAAAATATATTTTTTGACATATTTTTAAATAGTTGCCACAGGGCCAGCCAATTGAAATAGCCCAGCAAAGCTGGCTTTTGAGGAGAAACTTGCTTCTGTAGAGAATCTCCATTAATGCATCCAGGTCTTCCTTTTCCAGGCCTTTCCAGAATCTAGGAGAGATTGAGAGTCTGACACCTTTAAAAGTCTGAAAAGAAACATTTGCCATCTATTATCTCTAAGGGCTACTGCCTCTGAGGCTTCATCTACATAACAAGACCCCCTATGCTAGCCAAGCCTCTTCCTTTGTCCCTCTTATAACTTGTCTTGCCAATAAAACCAGATTTACCAACATAATCTGTTTTTGCCCATGCTCTGAGACTGTGTCATTTCTATAACCTCAAGGTGGTATATAAGCTTCTGTACCTCGTTAGGGGTTTGGTCCTTACTCTGAAGGCTGCCTTGTGTACATTTTAAATAAATGTGTAGGCCTTTTCTCCTATGAAAAAGAAAAGAAAGAAAATACCTTTAGACAAATGAAAATGAAGACACAACATACCAAAACTTAGGCATATACCATTTTAATGTAGACATATATCACTTTAATATAGGCATGTACCACTGCCAGCATTGCAGTGCTAAAGCAATGCTGGCAGTGGTACATGCCTATATTAAAAATAAAGAAATATCTCAAGTGAGTAACCTAACCTTCCACCTTAAGACAGTAGAAAAAGAAGAAAAGAACAAACAAAACCTAAAGCAAGCAGAAGGGAGAAGATAAGAGCAAATAGAGCAGAAACTGATGAAACAGGAACATAAAAACTATAGAGAAAATCAATGAAGCAAAATCTGGATATTTGACAGCACAAACAGAATTGACAAGTATGTAGTTAGACTGACCAAAAAAGAATGAGAGAAGACAGAATCTGAATTGAAAGAGTGGGCATTACCACCAACATTATGAAAAATAAAAAAAAAGATGAGAAAGGATTACTATAAACAAATTGTACCATAATACATTTTATAATTTAGATAAAATGGACAAATTCCTAGAAATACACTATCAAAACTGACTCAAGAAGAAATAGATAATCTGAATAGACTTAAAACAGGGAAAGTGATCTGAATTTGTAATCAAAACAATATCCACAAAGAAAAGTCCAGACCCAGATGTCTTCACTGGTGCATTCTATGAATATTTAAAGAAGAATTAATACCAATTTTTTATTAACACCTCCAAAAAGTAAGAGGAAGGAACACTTCCCAACTCATTCTATGAGGGCAATATTACCCTGATACTGAAGCCAGACAAAGACATCACAATGAAAAAAGAAAAAAAACTACAGACCAGAATTTCTTATGACTATGGACTAAAAAATCCTCAACCAAACACTAGCAAAACAAACACAGTAACATATAAAAAGAGTTATACACAACCACAAAGAAGAATTTATCCCAGGAGTGAAAGGTTTGTTTTCATATCCAAAAAATCAATTAATGTAATGTACCATACTAAAAGAATAACAAACCCAAACTACATGATTATCTCAACCATTTCAGAAAAAAATTTGACAAAATCCAACACTTTTTGACCATAAAAAACACTCATCAGGACTTCTGATTTCTGGCCCAGCATGAAAGGAGCTTTAAAGTCATCACTCTGTTATAAACAAGTAAAAAGCTGAACAAACTGAAAAAAATCAACAACTCTTCTTAGATCTGTCAGAGCAGTGAGGTCCCAGGGAAAACTACTGTCCTCAAAACAGGAGAGAAAGACAAGTGGATGCAGGGAATCCAAACTTACTGGAGCAGAAGCTCACAATCAGAAACCTCCACAGAAGCCAGTAATGGGGTAGGAAAACCCAAACAATTGCTAGAGGCTCTGTGTGGACAAGTCTGATAGTTAAAAAACAAAAAAGTCTGGGCACGGTGGCTCACACCTATAATCCCAGCACTTTGGGAGGCCAAGGCAAGCAGATCACCTGAGGTTGGCAGTTCAAGACCAGCCTGACCAACACGGGGAAGCCCCATCTCTACTAAAAATATGAAATTAACTGGTTGTGGTGGCGCATGCCTGTAATCCCAGCTACTCGGGAGGCTGAGGCAGGAGAATCGCTTGAACTTGGGAGGTGGAGGTTGCAGTGAGCTGAGATTGCACCATTGCACTCTGGCATGGGCAACAAGAGTGAAACTCTGTCTCAAAACAAACAAACAAAAAATCACAACTCCTCTGGGGAGCCTTGTCATAAGGTGGCCCTGACACTTTTGTGAGTTTTACCCTCAGGAGCTCTCCCAGGTTCTCACAGTGAATATTGGAGAAAAATCCCCTTATAGGGGGAGGATAAAACCATCATTTTGAAATACATCAGAGAATTCTGTTCTTAACAAGACCTGCCATCAAGAGAAACTATTTTACCAGAGTCTAATCTGCTAGGATTTTGTTAGAACCCAAAAGACCTGGGGGAAGGGGAAACTGAACTCCAGCCCTCTCAAACTATCCATGTGGGGGAAAGGAAATACCCACTGTTGACCTCCTGTCCCATCTCAGAAGAAGGAGGGGTGGAGGAAACTGAAAAGCACTTGTGAAATTCACAGCCCACCAGCATAGGTTCATCAAAGGTCTGAGACTAAATCACAGGACTCTAGAACACTTCCTATTCCCTCAGCCCCTACAACTTACCACCACATCATTGAAGACCTATTTACGAAGGTTCCTTTTAGCTCATACATCATGTTCAACTTGGAACAAAAATTACAAGGCATACTAAAAGGCAAAAAACTTGGTTTATGAGACAGAGCAAGCATTAGAACCAGAGTCAGATATGGAAGGGATGTTGGAATTATCAGACTGGGAATTAATAACAACTATGATTAATATTGCTAAAGCCTCTTATGGAAAAAGTAGACAACATGTAAGAACTGATGAGTACTATAAGTAGAGAGATGGAAATTCTAAGAAAGAATTTTTTTTTTAATGCTAGAGGTCAAAAATACTGAAACAGAAATGAAAGTAGACGTTTTATTAGATTTGGAACACCTGAAGAAAGACTCTCTGATCTTGAGGATATGTCGGTAAAAACTTCCAAAACTGAAAAGCAAAAACGAAAAAGACTGATTAAAGAAAAGAACAGAATATTCAAGAACTGTGATACAACTACCAAAGGTGTAACATAATGGAACTATCAGAAGGAAAACAAAGAGAAAAAGGAACAGAAGAAATAATTGAAGTAATCATGACTGATAATTTTCCCCAAGTTAATGTCAGATGCCAAACTGCAGATCCATAATGCTCAGGACAAATGCCCAAAATACTGCGTCTAGGCATGTTGTTTTTAAACTTCAGAGAATCAAAGAGAAAAAAAGAATCTTGAAAGATGCCCAGGGGAGGGTAGGGACACCCTACCTACAGTATAGCAAATATGAGAATTAAATCTTATGGAGCCTCAGAAATTACGCAAGCAAGAAGAGAGTGGAGTGAAATATTTAAAGTATCGAGAGAAAAAAAAATCCACAAACCTAGAAATATGTATCCTGCAAAATGATCCTTCACAAGTAAAGGAGAAAAAAAGACTCTCAGACAAACAAATTTGAGGGAATGTGTTGCCAGTAGAACTGCCTTGAAAGAAATGTTAAAAAAAAAAAAGTCCTTCAGAGAGAAGGAAAATGGTATAAGTTAGAGACTTGAATCTACATAAAGAAAAGAAGAGCGCTGGAAAAGAAATAAGTGAAGATAAAATAGAAGCTTTTATTTTGCTTATTTTTAATTGATCTAACAGATGAAAGTTTGTGCAAAATAATATTAGCAGCAATGTATTTGATGGTTATAGCTTATGTATGAGTGAAATGAATGACAGAAATGACACAAGAAATGGGAGGGAGGAATTGGGAATGTTTTCTTATTATGAGGTATGCTCTACGTGTGAATCAGCATAATGTTACTCAAAAGTGGAATTTGATTAGTTGTAAATGTATATTGGAAAATCTTGGATACTCACTTTAAAAAGTAAAAAAAGAAGTATAATATATATACTAAGAAATGAGAAAAAGTAGAATTATATAAAATGCTCAACTACAAAGGCAGAAAAAGAGTGAAGATGAAACTAGGAAAAGGAAAAAGGGGAACAAATAGAAAACTGTAACAAATATGGCAGATATTAATCTAACTATTTCAATAATCACTTTAAACATCAATGGTCTAAATGCACCCTTTAGAAAACAGAAGTTGTCAGATTAGAGCAAAAAACAAGACCCAACTATATGTTGCCTGCAAGAAATCCACCTTAAATACAAAGACACATACAGATGAAAAGTAAAAGGATAGAGAAAATTATACTAACATTAATTATAAGAAAGCTAAAGTAGAATATACTAATTTCAGACAGATCAAAGTAAGGAAAATTATGAGGAACACAGAGGAGCATTATGTAATAAAAAAGCGGCCAATTTCTCCAGAACACATAACAATTTTTTTTTTTTTTTTTTTTTTTTTTTTTTTTTTTTTTTTTTTTGAGACAGAGTCTTGCTCTGTCCTCTGTCATCCAGGCTGGAATGCAGTGGTGTGATCTTGGCTCACTGCAAGCTCCGCCTCCCGGGTTCACGCCATTCTCCTGCCTCAGCCTCCCGAGTAGCTGGGACTACAGGCGCCTGCCACCACATCCGGCTAACTTTTCATATTCTTAGTAAAGACAGGGTTTCACCATGTTAGCCAGGATGGTCTCGATCTCCTGACCTCATGATCTGCCTGCCTTGGCCTCCCAAAGTGCTGGGATTACAGACGTGAGCCACCATGCCCAGCCAACATAAAAATTCTTAATGTGTATGCACCTAGCAACAGAGAGGCAAAACACATGGAACAAAAACTGATAGAATTGCAAGGAGAAGTATTTGAATCCACCAGCAGAGTTGGAGACTTCAAAACCCATCTATCAGAAATGGACAGATCCATCAGGCAGAAAATTAGTAAGGACATAGTTGAACACATCACCACAGTGAATTAATTGAATATAATTGACATCTATAGACCACTTCCTCCAACAAGAACACAATACACATTCTTCTCAAGTTCACATAGAACATTCTCCAAGATAGACCACATTCAGGGCCATAAAACATATCTTAACAAATTTAAAATAATAGAAATCATCCAATGTATGTTCTCATACCATAGTGGAATTAAACTAAAAATGATAGCTTGAAAAACACAAATATAAATGGAGGGAAACTTTCTTAACCTGATAGAGGGCACTTATGAAAAACCCATAGCTGACATTATATTTAATGGTGAAAGACTGGATGCTTTCCCCCTAAAATCAGAACCAAATTAAGAATGTTCAGTCTTGCCACTTCCAATCAACATTGTACTAGAAGTTCTAGCTAGGTCAATTAAGCAAGAAAAAGAAATAAAATTCATCCAAATTGGAAAGGAAAAATTAAAATTATCTCTATTCACAGATGACATGATCTTGACATAGAATATGTTCTGTAATACACTGAAACACTATAAGAACTAATAAATTCAGCTA
Source organism: Homo sapiens (assembly GCF_000001405.40). Taxonomy (NCBI): domain Eukaryota; kingdom Metazoa; phylum Chordata; class Mammalia; order Primates; family Hominidae; genus Homo; species Homo sapiens. Next base: position 16,879,480 of record NC_000006.12, on the reverse strand, counting down.
GTTTTCTGGATAAAAAAAATATACAAAAATCAATTGTATTTCTACACACTTGCAATGAGCAACCTGAAAATAAAATTAAGAAAATGATTCCATTTATAATGGTATAAAAATAAACTACTTAAGAAATTTTTAACAAAAGAAGCACAAAACTTATATGCTAAAAATTATGAAACATTGTTGAAAGAAATTAAAGAAGATCTAAATAAATAAAAAATACCACGTGTTCATGGATAGGAAGATGTAATATTTTTAAGATGGCAATGCTCCCAAAATTGAGCTACATATTTAATGCAATCTCTATCAGAATCCCAGCTGGCTTCTTTGTAAAAATTGACAAGCTGATTCTAAAATACATATGGAATTGCAAGTGACCAGGAATAGCCAAAACAATCTTGAAAAAGAAGAACAAAATTGGAAAACTCACAGTCCCTGATTTCAAAACTTACTACAAAGCAACAGTAATCAAGACAAAGTGGTACTGGCAAAAGAATAAACATATGGATTGTATGTCTATCACATGAATCATAGAATTGAGAGCATAGAATTAAACTCTCATGCTTTTGGTCAATTGATTTTCAACAGGAGTACCAAGAAACTTCAATAAGGAAAAAAATCATTTTTTGACAATTGCTAGTGGGACAACAGAATATCCATATAGAAAAGAATGAAGTCAGATCCCTACCTCACACTATATACAAAATTTAGTTCAAAATAGATATAAAACCTAATTTTAAGAACTAATATAGTAAAACTCTTAGAAGAAAACACAGTAGTACATCTTCATGACTTTGAATTCTTAGATTGGAATCGTGGATTCTTATATATGACACCAATGGTACAAGCAACAAAAGAAAAGTACCCCATATCCTTGGCCCAAAGGCTCCTTCAGCTGGTAGACAACTTCAGCAAAGTTTCAGGATACCAAATCAGTGTACAAAAATCACTAGATTTCCTATACACCAACAATAGCCAAGTCAAGAGCCAAATTAGGAAGGCAGTCTCATTCATAATTGCCACAAAAAGAATAAAATACCTAGGAATACATCTAACCAGGGAGGTGAAAGATCTTTACAGTGAGAATTACAAAACACTGTGGAAAGAAATCAGAGAAGACACAAATAAATGGAAAACATCCCATGATCATGGACAGGAAGACTCAGTATCATCAAAAGGGCTATATATTGCCCAAAGCAATTCACAGATTCAATGCTATTCCTATCAAACTACCAATGACATTCTTCACAGAACTAGAAAAGACTATTGTAAAATTCATGTGGAGCCAAAAAAAGAGCAAAAATA